>NC_000006.12:94567973-94718912 GCF_000001405.40 Homo sapiens
TTTCTGGTTTATAATTAGTAAAATCCATAAAATATGAGCTCATTATTATAATTTACTCCCAGTAAGTAAAAAGAAATTTGAACTTGAGTATTCACTCAAGCCCATTTTTCTCTGGAAAAGATGATTATTATCTCTACATGTTCTTTCCCAGTTTTCTTATAATAGAGAAAATAAAATAATGTATATATCCATGAAAGCAAAATAATAAACTATGCACTCATAAACTGTGAGGCAAATGTGTACTGCATTATTTTCTCTCTTAATATATACGTAAAGAAGTAAGGCTGGGCACAGTGATTCATGCCTATAATTCCAACACTTTGAGAGGCAAAGTTGGGTGGATCACTTGAGGCTAGGAGTTCGAGACCAGCGTGGGCATCATTGCAAAACCCTGTCTTTACCAAAAAAAGAAAAAAAAAAATTAAGCTGAGTGTGGTGTTGTGCACCTGTAGTCCCAGCTACTTGGGAGGCTGAGGCAGAAGAATCCCTTGAGCCTAGGAGCAGCGATCTGAGTTTGCACCACTGCACTCCAGCCTGGGCAACAGAATGAGACTGTCTCTCCCTCTATCTCTTACACACACACACACACACACACACACACACAATATTATATAATATATAATATACATATATATACTATAATTTACATATTATATATACACATATATATACTTACTTTATGCAACTTAAGCAGAAATAGAATTATATTTTAAACATAGGAGCCATATGTGGAGAACGGGAATACCAATTGATTGCAAGGTCATAATATGACTGCTTTAAAAACCAAGGGGAAGTAGTCAATGGTGATACTAACCTGCTTACATGACTTTGTGTTCTGAGGTCATCAAAATGCAATAATGGAAATAAATTACCAGAAAACTATTCATAAACAATTTTGGTGTTCATAATTACTATTTCTACTAACACCAAGAAGATGTTAGTAGGTGAAGCAATACACTTCTAATCATTTTTTGCAAAACATATCATGTTAGGAATACTGGATGCTAACCAATCATCATTCTGAAAGTAGAGAGGTATATAGGTGAATACATATGTACATATATATGTAGAATCATATGGCTAAGTCTACACACACATGCATTCTTATTGTGTTTTTTAAATGTAGTTTAATGGATTTCTGTGAAATGGAGAAAGTTATCAAAAAGGTTTTTCCTAAAAATGTTTGGAAGTTTACTTATTCTGAGTTATCTCTTTTCAAAAAAATACCCAAAAAAAAAAAAAGGGAAAATTATCTATTGGGAACTTCCATTGTTCACAAATGTTAAGATATCTTAAGGATTATGGATTTTTCAACAAAAAGCAAGAAGCGCTTTTTTCTTTTTTTGTTGGCCAGCACACATTTTTATAGTGAAACATGACCCCACTTGTACAAAGCTTATACTCTTCCAATGCTCATTAAACCCTAAAGAGCTCAAATCACCATTTCATGGATTTGAACTCTTTCTAGTCAGTGTCTTCACATTTATTATTTTGTCCATATGTCCTATTAAAAGTAATAGATAATTCTTTTCTCACTTTCTGACTCTTGTTTTCAATATGGTGCTTGTAACTGATAAAGTGCTTGTAACTGATAAAGTGAGATAAGATGAGATCTTTGTTTGCCCCTTAATTTTGTACTGTGTATTTCATTTGGCATCATGTCCTGGGAAATCCATGAGCTACCCCATTTGGAGAAGTCAGAATTCTCTTCATGTTAAATCAATGAAAATTGCTGTAACTAAATTCTACCAGTTTCTTCAAACAATTATGCTTTAATGGAACATTTCCAAAAAGGCATGTACCTTAATGAATGCTATAGGAAAACTCTGAAATGCTGAACTTGTGTCAAAAGTGATTTTTTTAAATTAGGGAATGTTTGAAAAGCTACTTGTACAAAAACAAATCAGAAATATCTGCATGAAAATCCAAATTCAATATTTTCATTTTTTAGTTACCCAGGGCTTATAAATCACTAACTGTATATGATGATTCTTAATTATGAAAATAAATATACTTTTCCTCACATCAAATGTAAATATTATAATTATATGGTATCGTTTAAGTTTTGAAAGCTAAATTTGTAGAGAAATTAATAATTTAAGGTGTTGTATTTTTTCTATTGTATTTAAGTGTATCTCCATAAAACAAGATAAATTCATCTTTACTATCAGTGAAATGTATAATTTTTTTTCACTACTTACTTTGTTTTATTCAGAATGAATTGTCTTTCAGGTGTTTTTTTTTTATGTTTTTGAGTAAATGGACTTATAAAAGAGTTAAATATATTAGTCAATGAAAAATAGACACAATTTTCTTTTATGAGGTAACAGAAAGAATATTTAAAGAGGTATATTACACAATATTACCATGTTAGGAAAAACAATGAGGTGGCAGTAAAGAAGAAATGGATTGTTTCAGGGCAATATGATGGATTTGTGAGGAGGAAGTCATATTATATAAAATGCCTGTTCAAGGTTGGAGTATAAGCATGATTCTTTTCATTTTGTACTACAAATCTCCAACCTAATCTTTCTGAAAGTCTTTCAGAAAAAGATGAGATAATGACAATCTCATGCTTCTTGGCTTACCTTCTCATAAACCCTGCTCTCAAACTTTAGAATATCAATATCGATTGTTTTCGAATATTATCCATTTGGTGACCACTTTCTTTTCAACAAATATTACTAGAATGCTCAATTATCAGCTGTTAAATCTCTGAACAATATCCTTTGTCTGGCCAGCTGCTGAAACGTCCAGTTGCTGGGCTTATTTCATCTCAGACTCATAGGCGGCCTGCCAATAGCATCACATCCCAGCACCCTTCAAGGGGTCCTGATACCGTCCTTTCAGTGGCCAGCTGTTGCAGTTATAGTTAAATAATTGCCAAACTAAAGGCCACAAAAAACAATGCCTTGTCATTCTTTTTATTTTTGAGCTTTTATCTTGTCCAAGCTTCATCATCAATGTCATATTGCTATAAGCCATAGCCAGCATCTTACAGATCTCCAGAAAGCTTTTAGAAGTTATTTTGTATTCATTGTAGATGGTGAATAATTGAAGCAATCCACCTGCTCTGGGGCTTGTCTGTCAACTTTGATATTGGTAGCAGCGTGAGTGACACTGGCTTACTGTTATGAATTTGGGTACTGGTTTTTTAGACACAGAGAAAAATGTATGTTTTAAGATATATCTCTATAGGTGATTTTGCTCCTGAAAAGTATGATTAAGTATTACACTTTTTAGTATTCATTACTGCATTACTATTTTATCATTAAACATTTATTTCAAATAAGAAAATAAATTGAATTATGTTTATAAAATAAATATGTGCTAAGTGTACAAAAATATTTAAATTATGGCAAATATATAAAGGAGTAAATAATCTATCTCCTTGACATCAAAATAACCACTTTCAAATATTAGACTTTGCTTCTAGTCTTGCCTCTGGAAACTATGTGTATTTCCGTTAATAATTTCTTTTTCTCCCAGAGCTTTCATCTGATGATTAAAAAAAACTAACATTTACTGTTACCTTTCCATGTCTATCTTTAGGATTTTACAAACCAAAACAAGCATGTGCAGATAAATGTAATTCAGCTATTTTTAGTTAAAATATTATGTTACTATATAGTTTTCTGTTTTCATTTAATAAATTTGTGTATTATTTTGGGTAAAGTTATTTTTCTCATAAGTGGTATGTTAATAACATTTGCTCGTATCAGTAAAAATATTTAAAAATTTAATTTGAATTAAATATAAATTTCCATCTTCTTTATTAACAATCTTTACTTGATCATTAAAATGATGTTTTGAATTTAGGGCATCTATGTTTTTTATTTTATAAACACAGTTGCAATGAGCAATGTGGCTTATAAGTGTGGATGGTTTTGATTATTTATTGGGGTTAGGCTTCTAGAACTAAACTTAATGATAAAAGGACATAAAACTTTAAAAAATCTTGATTCACATAGCCTCTTGCTTAAAAGAAAGAAAATGTATACTCCAAAAAATAGTATAAAAAAGTCTGTTCTGACAAAGCATATATCACTATTTTTATGCTATATATTTCCCATTCAAAGATAATGATTATTTTTATATTAATTATTTAAATATTCTATATACAGTTACTTTAAAAATATTTTATTGTTGTATGTAAAAAATCAGAAAAAATAGTTGAGAAAATAATTACTACTTGCATTTTATGAATGCATATGTAGAAGATATATGTTAATTTAAATAGATATGTATATATAAACATGACCACAGATACTAATGCTATATCTATATAAAATTTGTCACTTTTTGCAAAAGTAGAATCAAACCCAGAAACCGTATTATAATCAAATAGAGGACATTAACTAGGAGAAGAATATAATCTAATCAAACATGGTATTGGGTAAACTGAATTTTTATATTTATAGTCAAATAAATCATAAGGATCAAGAATTAAGTACAACTGGATTGAAGATTCAAGTGTAAATAAGAGATAACTTTAAAATAATTAACAACGATCTTTTTTTTTGCACAAGACTATATTTTCTTAAACAAGATATAAAATGTAAACAAAAAAAGATAAGCAATGGTATGTGAAACTATGGAAAAACTAAAACGTTGAGACATAGTTTAAAAAACCCAGTTTAAATCATAAAATACATGAAATGTTGGAAAGGTTATGGTAAACAACAAATGTTTATTTATTGCTGTGAGAGTACAAATTGTTCTAAACATTTTGGAGTACTATTTGATTATATTTAGTCCAATTTAAAAGTCATATAACTTAAGGCATAAGAATAGGAATTGTACTTTTAAATATCTATTTTAAAGAAGCACTCATACATGTACCTACAAAGTTATATAAAACTCAACCAGCATCTTGTATGTCTAAATGGTAGAAACCAGTAAGATGAACAAACATGCATGATGAGATTAAATAGTAAAGTAACTTTGTATTCATTTCCCAGTGTGTCTTTATTAGACGGAGTTAAGTTTTTAACTTTAAAAAGCTGACAGGACTTGTCATTTTTCTCTGATTATTTTAAATCACAAAAAATCTAAAATAAATAAATAAATAAATATATATACACAACAACAATAAAAAGCCCAGTCTTTTATAATAATAATAAAAAAACTAGTCACAGTATTTTCCAAACCTAAGTTCCACCCTGTAGTGAGTGATAAGCCTCTACTCTGAGAACAAGAGTGTAAGTTAGATTATTTTTTCTTTATCTCTCATGGTAACTCACCTTCACAGCTTCTTATCCCTTTACCTTCCAAGAATGCAAGCCTATGGATGGAACAAAATAAGAGAAATTAGATGACATAACAAGTCTATCCAGGAAGTCATTTGTGGTTCCTTACAGAAACTCCCCCACTGCCAGTCATGTCTCACAGCAGTGCCCTCCTTTGGGTCAGGCTCTCTCCCTCTCTGAGGTCTTTCTAGCTTTCCTAGCTTTACTCTGCCGAGTCTATTTTCCTTGCCAAGTGCATTTCATGGAAAGACCTAGAATGACACTCTCCTGTGCACTCTCCTTTCATAGCTTCCAGCCAGTCTACATAAAACACTAATAATATATATTCATTATTTGCCCTAATAAAATCTTGTCCTAACCGATTCCACTACAACAGAAAGATCTACTTTGGCTTGTCCATAAGCAGCTAGCTAGTTCATCTCTAGACCTGTAGAGCTGTCAAGAAGGAATTTGACAGTAATACAATGTATTCTTCAACTATAAGAAATGCATATGGCACTTCCCACATGGCATTCCTTGATTCTCTGTCATTAGACTTGAGATGAGGAACATGTACGTTTTATCCTGCGAATGCATAGAAAACCAATAGTGATCACCAAAAGTCCTTTAAAAACTGATAGTCTGTTAGTATCCAAGAAATGCATTTATTCTTAATACGTAGTTAAGACAACAATAGTAACCACTAGAAATAATAAATGGCTATAAGTAATTTAGTTTATTTCATGTGTATAGCAATAAAATCACTTAGCTTTTAAGAATCATTACAAATACCATTCAGGACATAGGCATTGGCAAGGACTTCATGTCTAAAACACCAAAAGCAATGGCAACAAAAGCCAGAATTGACAAGTGAGATCTAATTAAAGTGAAGAGCTTCTGCACAGCAAGAGAAACTACCATCAGAGTGAACAGGCAACCTATAGAATGGGAGAAAATTTTTGCAATCTACTCATCTGACAAAGGGCTAATATCCAGAATCTACAATGAACTCAAACAAATTTACAAGAAAAAAACAAACAACCCCATCAAAAAGTGGGCAGAGGATATGAACAGACACTTCTCAAAAGAAGACATTTATGCAGCCAAAAGACACATGAAAAAATGCTCATCATCACTGGCCATCAGAGAAATGCAAATCAAAACCACAATGAGATACCATCTCACACCAGTTAGAATGGCAGCCATTAAAAAGTCAGGAAAAAACAGGTGCAGTAGAGGATGTGGATAAATAGGAACACTTTTACACTGTTGGTGGGATGGTAAACTAGTTCAACCATTGTGGAAGACAGTGTGGCAATTCCTCAGGGATCTAGAACTAGAAATACCATTTGACCCAGCCATCCCATTACTGGGTATATACCCAAAGGATTATAAATCATGCTGCTGTAAAGACACATGCACATGTATGTTTATTGTGGCACTATTCACAATAGCAAAGACTTGGAACCAACCCAAATGTCCACCAATGATAGACTGGATTAAGAAAATGTGGCACATATACACTATGGAATACTAGGCAGCTGTAAAAAAGGATGAATTCATGTCCTTTGTAGGGACATGGATGAAGCTGGAAACTATCATTCTCAGCAAACTATCGCAAGGACAAGCAACCTAACACTGCATGTTCTCACTCATAGGTGGGAATTGAACAATGGGAACACTTGGACACAGGAAGGGGAACATCACACACTGGGGCCTGTTGTGGGGTGGGGGATGGGGGTGGGATAGCATTAGGAGATATACCTAATGTAAATGACGAGTTAATGGGTGCAGCACACCAACATGGCACATGCATACATATGTAACAAACCTGCATGTTGTGCACATGTACCCTAGAACTTAAAGTATAATAAAAAAAGAGAAAAATATATATATATATATTTGTGAGAACCACTAAAGAGCAAAAGACTTACCTATGTGAAAGGGAAACAATAACTGAAGGAGGAAGACCCGTGAAAATAAAGGAAGAGAATGTGATGAATACTAAAACCAGGGAAGTGATTTTTCCTGTGACATTAGAAAGGACACCTCCATTTGTAATACAGATCTAAGCAAGGAAAGGTGGATGTAAATATTATTCTAGATGTGCAATACAGGGAGCTGTTGTTTAGTTAAATGTATGTTTTTTCCTATAATGAATTTCTTCTACCATACTTCCTGCAATTTATGTTTCAGATCACTGTAGAAGAGCAGTTTAAGTAATAACAGACAAAATCTACGTGAAAAAATAAACATGTTTAACCTATGAGCCAAAAGTAAGTGAATGGCTTTTAAGGCAGATAAATTATCTGTAATTTAAAACTCACTTTTCTCTACACCTAGTAGAAGAAAGGGCAATTTTAGCATTTTGTAGACAGTGTTTCCTAAATTGGTGGAATAAATATTTATTGCCACAATCTTGGTAAAGTTACGATTTTCAAAGATTATGCAATGGCCTTTGCCTATTAATTTTGTTCATCTTGCACAAAAAGCTATATGTTTCTTTCACATATTTTGATATTTCATGCTTGTTTTTCTGTAATTGTAATAATAATAATGTCTTAAGTTTTAACTCAAGGGCTGAGGAATGTCTTTCCTTGTTCATTTAAATCATTCCAAGAAGGTGGGTTAGAAAAAGGCCTATGTGACTTTTAATATAATTTATTTTTCATCTGTCATCTCTCACAGTTTCACATAATTCTTATTTGTAATCTCAAAGTATGCATACTGATTTGTTTTTTAAATTTTTTCCTTACTGTAATTTGAAAAGGTAATCACTTCATGCATTTGAAAAAATGAAATCAATATTATCAATTTGTTTAAATTTTCCCCTCCTTTAGTTACCCTTAAAGATCTTGGAATGTATATATTTCTTTGACACATGTGGACAGTGGTATGATAATTTTTTTCAGTATTATAAATGCTTCCTTGATGCATTTCATCTCTAATCAATATTATAGAGGCAACAAAATGTAAAGTATACATTGAGTGTGAGCCTGACATTATCCATAGACCCATGCCATGGCCTTAGATAATCAACATATCCACCTGTATTAGTCGATTCTCAAGCTGTTATAATTATGTACCTGACGCTGGGTAATTTATAAAGGAAAGAGGTTTAACTGACTCACAGATACGCAGGTCTGGAGTAGCCTCTGGAAACTTACAATCATGGCAGAAGGGGAAGCAAACACATCCTTATTCACATGGAGACAGCGAGGAGAAGTGCAGAGCAAAGCTGGGGAAAGACCTCTCATAAAACCATCACATCTCAGGAGAGCTCACTCACTATCATGAAAACAATAGGAATATAACCACCCTGTGATTAAACTACCTCCCACTTGGTCCCTCCCACAACATGTGGGGATTATGGGAACTACAATTCAAGATGAGATTTAGGTGGGGACACAACCAAACCTAATCATTCCAAGCCTAGACCCTCCCAAATCTTATGTCCTCACATTTCAAAATACAATCATGCCTTCCCAACAGTTACCCAAAGTCTTAATGCATTCCAGCATTAACTTAAACGTCCAAGTTCGAAGTCTCATCTGAGACAAGGCAAGTCCCTTCCACCTTTGAGCTTATAAAATCAAAAACAAGTTAGTTACTTCATAGATACAATGGAGGTACAGGCATTGAGTAAATATACTCATTCCAAATGAGAAAGTTGCTGAAACAAAGGGGCTACAGACCCCATGCAATTCTGAAAATTGATAGGGCAATCATTAAACCTTAAAAGTCCAAAATGATCCCCTTTGACTCCATATCTCATATCCAAGTCACATTGATACAAGAGGTGGGCTCCTTCAGCCTTGGGCAGCTCTGCCTCTGTAGCTTTTCAGGGTACAGCCTCCCTCTCAGCCGCTTTCATGGGCTGGCATTGCCTGACTATGGCTTTTTCAGGTGTGCAGTGGAAACTGTTAGTGGATCTACCATTCTAAGGTCTGGAGCATGGTGGCCCTCTTCTCACAGCTCCACCAAGTAGTGCCCCAGTGGGAACTCTGTGGGGGCTTCAACCCCACATTTTCCTTCTGCACTGCCCTAGCAGAGGTTCTCCATAAGGGCTCCACCCTTGCCACAGACTTCAGCTTGGACATCCAGGCATTTCCATACATCCTCTGAAATCTAGGCAGAGGTTCCCAAACCTCAATTCTTGACTTCTGCACACTTGGCAGGCCCAACACCATATGGAAGCTGCCAAAGTTTGGGGCTTGCACTTTCTGAAGCAATGGCTTGAGCTGTTGGCCCCTTTTAGCCATGACTGGAGTGGCTGGGACACAGGGTACCATGTCCCAAGACTGCACAAAACAGCAAGGCCTTGGGCCAGGCCCATAAAACCCATTTTTTTTTCTCCTAGGTCTCCAGGCTTGTGATGGGAGAGACTGCTGTGAAGATCTCTGACATGCCCTGGAAACATTTTTCCCATTGTAATGGAGGTTAACATTTGGCTTCTCATTATGCAAAATTTTGCAGCCACTTGAATTTCTACTCAGAAGATGGCTTTTTCTTTTCTATCTCATTGTCAGGCTGTAAATTTTTCAAACTTTTTTGTTCTGCTTCATCTTGAATGCTTTGCTACTTAGATATTTCTTCTGACAGATACCCTAAATCATCTCTCTCAAGTTTAAAGTTCCCAAGATCTCTAGGGTGGGGGAAAGTGCTGGCAGTCTCTTTGCATAGCAAGAGTGACCTTTACTCCAGTTTCCAAAAAGTTTTCTTATCTCCATCTGAAACCGCCTCAACCTGGTCTTTATTGTCCATATCACTATGAGCATTTTGGTCAAAGCCATTCAACAAGTCTCTAGGTAGTTCCAAACTTTCCCACATCTTCCTGTCTTCTGAGCCCTCCAAATCTCTTGGAAGTTCCAAACTTTCCACATTTTCCTGTCTTCTTCTGAGCCCTCCAACTGTTCCAACCTCTGCCTGTTATCCAGTTCCGAAGTTGCTTCCACATTTTCAGGTATCTTTACAGCAGTGCCCTGCTACCTGTTACCAATTTATTGTATTAGTCCATTCTCAAGTTGCTATAAGGACTTACCTGAGAATGGGTAATTTATAAAGAAAAGAGGTTTAATTGACTTACAGTTCCCCAGGGCTGGGAAAGCCTCAGGAAACCTACAATCATGGTGGAAGGGGAAGAAAACACATCTTTTCCACACGGAGGGAGCAAGAAGTGCAGAGCAAAGTCGGGAGAAAGCCCCTTATAAAACCATCACATCTCATGAGAACTCATTTACCATCAAGAGAACAGCATGGAGGTAACGTCCCCATTATTCAATTACCTCCCGCTGGGTCCCTCCCATGACACCTGGGGATTATGGGAGCTATAGTTCAAGAGTGGGGACACAGCCAAACCATATCACTACCTTTATCTGATCACAAAAATTACAAAATAATAATATCAGTAATAATCTCAAAGAAACATAGAGAAGATTAATAAAACACAGTTTTAAGGGCACTATTTGAGATGCTTTGTGTAAGCTGAAAATATTTCTATTCGAGAAATAAAATGTAATTTGAAAACTGTAATTTGGATATTCCATGATGACACATACAAAGAAAACTACAATATTTCCTTAGCTTTACATATAGATTTATAATTTATCAAGTACTTGTATGTATGATATTGTTTTAATGGCTTATTTCTATTTTATTATTATTAAACAGATGTTCTTTGAAGAAAATGTTGAAAATATAGAAAAAACATAAAGAGTAAAACCTCAGAATGCACCTCCAAGATACAACCAAAATTCATATTTGTTTTTATTTATCTGTTTATTTATTTAAGACAAGTTTTGTCTCTATTACCTAGACTGGAGGGCAGTGGTGCAATCTCGGCTCACTGCAACCTCTGCCTCCTGGGCTTAAGCCATCCTCCCGCCTCATCCTCCTGTGTATCTGGGAATATAGGCAAGTGCCACCACACACAGCTAATTTTGTATTTTTTGTAGAGACAGGGTTTTACCATTGTGGCCCAGGCTGGCCTTGAACTCATGAGCTTAAGCCATCTGCCTGTCTTGTCCTCCCAACGTGCTGGGATTGCAGGCATGAGCCACAATGCCCAGCCTCATGTTTGTTTATTTTTAATACATTTACCTGATTATTTGAAATTGAGTGTCTTAAAATACATCTCTTAATTTGAAAATATTTCTGTCACATTTAAAATAAATAATTTATATCCAAAATGTAATGATGACATCAACTGGAGTTTGGGGCCTTACTATCACTAAGGCAGAGTGAGGAGAGACATTCAGAGAGGTAGAGACAGAGCAAAACGGAATTAACAAGCTTCTTTTAAAATAGGAACTGACAACACTATTTAGGAAATTTGTCCTTCTTTAGCATAACTGATTTAATATGCAGAGTTTGAAATCTGACAGAGTCCTAAAGCTACTGAAGGCATTAGTGACTTTTTTCCTGAGTTTATATTAAAGAGTTTGAAACATCATATGAGCCCACCCTTCAAAGCATCAAGTTACAATGCTCTAAAGGCATTTGGCATATTCTTATTGACTTATAGACCATGGAAATAATGACAAAGGGAAAAAATTCTGCAGAGATTTGAATATATTTATTGTGGCTCTCTTGACAGTCATCTTATAACTTGACTACCAAGTGGGGATTTTGGGGCCTGTTAGTGGCAAAGCTGTGGGGGGAAAAAAAAGTCACTTATTTTAAGCTACTGTAAACTTTAATAGTGCTGGACTACTAGTGTGTTAACTTATCTCTACAACAAATTTTCAGTCTACTAAACAAGAAGAAGATGGCGTGAATTCATATAAGATCAAAATGATAAAATCAAGTGATTCTTTTGTATATTTAAGTGTCTCTTGGGAGTTTTGTGGCTGTGCACAGAAGAAAAATTTCTAAGATGCTGCAAACTAAAGAAGGTTTTTAATAAAAAATGAGTTTTATATTCAGCTAAAATTGAATATTAAGTGATTTTGATTTTAAAATAGCAAAGACAAAGAAAAATTTTCCTTGTAAGTATGACAATAATAATATAATAGTAATACAATGTAATAGTAATAGGCCTAACATCTATTGAGTCATTGCACAGATGCTGTACAAAATATTTTATACATACTTTCTTTCTTCTTCCACACAACTCTATGAGGTAGGTTCAGTCATTACTTCCTCCACAGATCATAAAACTCAGCCATAAAACAATTCAGTACCTGGAACAATAGATCCAGTAAGCAGAAGATCTGGGATTTGAATCCAGAGAATTTGACTCTAGAGCCTATTATTTGAAATACTAATCTTTAAATCTCATTAAATGAATGACAGATTAATGCAGAGAAATCATTTTGGACATTATCATGAGAAAAGATTACATTTTAGGAATGTTTTTTGGAACTTTTCATTCCCTGCATTTTAGTTCATCCTTTTCTCGCTGTCTTCTACAACTTTCACTTTGGCCTAAACATGGCAATTGGTATTCAGCTACTTCTAAACTCAATTCTGGTCACGACATTTTTTACTTTGTTATCTTCAGATTAACAGCAGATAACTGAGGCAGTGGAGTATAAAAAGCATATATTTTGTGATGCAATATTCAATAAAAATATAAAATAGTCTCAAAGATATTAATATATCAAAAGAAATACTAGGCTCAGCCTGGGTGTAGTGGCTTATGCTGGTAATCTCAAGAATTTGGGAGGCCGAGGTGGGAGGATCGCTTGAGTCCACCAGTTTGAGACCAGCCTAGACAACATAATGAGACCCCATCTCTACACAAAATGAAAAAAAAAAAAAATTAGCCAGGCATGGTGGCATGCACCTGGAGTCCCAGCTACTCCTACTCAGGAGGCCAAGGCGTGAGGATCATTTGAGCCCAGGAGTTTGGGGTTGCAGTGAACTATGATTATGCCACTTCACTCTAGCCTGGATTACAAAGTGAAACCCTGTCTCTAAAAGAAATAAAACAAATATTCAAAATATTAGGCTCAAAGGACAGTCATGATGCCACATATTTCATTTTTTATCCTCTTGTTGTTGTAGGTGATCCAACAAATAATATTATCTTGGCTATCCAAGTTAAGATCCAGTTAAAAGATATGAGGGGCAGAAAGATGAAAATGGGGATTTGCTTAAATCTGTCACGGCAGCGGTGGATTGTTAATACTTCACCCATTAATAAGCATCTTTTCTTTGCATAAATTGGCAGAGCTAAAAACCTACAGGCCTGTGCACAGTACAGGGACAGGGCCTGCTCCATTAAGTTCACCACATGTCTAAGGCCAAACCAGACTCAGACTGGGAAGCAGGAGATACCAAAAAAGGGAGAAGAAAGTAAGGGGCTGAGCAACACATTCTTAGGTCCTTCTTCATAAAAGAAAGTGAGGTAAATTACTGTTCGTGTGTGTGTGTGTGTGTGTGTGTGTGTGTATGTGTTTAACTAAATAGAGGTGATCGTTGAGGTAAGACAAATGCAAATACTAGCCCTCTCATTAAAAAAGAAAAGCATTAGGAAGTTACATTCCCCTTACCATTATTGTTTATATTTTGGTGTTGAAAGTAGCTTAATACTATCATACCAAACATTCTCATCTTATAATTTTGAAAACATACATGCAAAAATATAAAAATAAAGTTTTTCTATAATTTTACCAGCCAGGAGAAAATAACTGTTATGTTTCCCTTGGTATCATTTTAGTCTAGTTTTTTAAATATAAAATCATTAATGTGCATTCTATTATTTAGATTTACTTGCCTCTTCCTCTCTCTTTCCTAATCTCTCTCTCTCATGCACGTGCATATCATGACAATCTTTTCATGGTATTATATCTTATTCTAAAACATGTTCCTCACTGCACATAGCTCATAAACAATGAGCTTTTGTTAACAAACTCCTTTGCAGGGACATTTGATTTCTTTCTAGTTTTCATTCCTATTCTCACCACTTGCAACTACTGGGTAACTACTCATGGTTAAGTCACTTTTAATAAGTATATTGGCCATTTGGCTATCCTCCTTGGACAATGCCTGTCTGAAATTCTTGTCCACTTTCTTTTAGCTTCCCTACCATTTCTTATGAAATTATAGATCTTTAAATATTCCAATATGACCTTCTTGTCTTAGACGTTTTCTCCATAGTTTCCTTTCTCTCACTTACAGACTCCATCATTTCTTTTTGTTTTTATAATATCATTTAATAAGCAATTAAAAAATTTTATGTAGTCCAGTTGAGTAATGTATTAGTCTTTCAATGATTAACCATTTAAATACATCATGATTTCAAGGTTATAAAGATGTGCTCTTCTAGATTTTCTTCTGGAAGTATTGTTTTGCTACTTCCACAAGGTGCCTGGGATTATTTTCTGTAAAGGGTATATGATACAGATTAAGTTCATTTATTATTAATATTACTATTTATTTGCTCATGTGTATATTCAATTGACCAAGCATGGATTATTAAAAATGGCACACTTTTCTACTCTCTACCATGCCACTTTGGCCTGTGCTACATACTGTTTCTGGATTCTACATCTGATTGATTGTCTGCCTTCCTCCCCTAATTAGTATAGTTTTAGTATAAATCTCAATGTCCAATGAAGAAGTTTTTCCCACCTTGTTCTCCCTTGTCAAGTATTTATGGAACATTCATGACCCTTTGCATTTGTGGATAACTTCTAATTGCATGTCAACTTCTACCAGAAACCTATGAGATTTTATTGGGATTTCATGGAATGTTTTGGGAACTATTGATATCTTTAAAACATTGAAATAACTGTTTCATAAATATAATATATTCTTCTATTTTATGTGTTTACTTATGTGTTCAATAATGTTTGAAATGTGTTTGAAGAGTTTATAAGTATCTTTCATTTGGTTTATTTCTAGATTTTATATTTTCAAATTTTATGTTATTGCTAATTACACTCTTTTTCAGTTTAATGTGTAATTGCTTGTTAATGGTTTAATAAAAATGAATTGATTTTTGTATATTGACCTTGTATTCATCAATCTGGCCAACATAAACTTTAAATTTTTATGCAGGTTTAATTTTCTATTTTCATAATTAATGTAAATAATGGTAGTTTTATTTATTTATTTGCCATCACCCATGTCATATTGTGTTATTGCACTGGCTATAACTTCTAATAAATGAAAATGGTGATAGTGGACATTCTTAATTCATTTCCAATCTGAAAAAGATTTAACTTTATTTAAAACATTTTACTATTAAATGTGATAGTAGTTACATAAAAGTCACCTATCCATATGTTTTTCCATCCCCTTTTAGATTGATGAATAAATGTCTTCCTAGTTTGCTTAAAGTTTTGTATTAATAATTGTTCAATTATATCAAAGTTTTCCATGTATTGAGCTAATCATGTGAACTGCCTCACTTATTCTCTTAATGTAAAGAATTATACTGATTCATTTTCAAAAATGTTAAGCCAACTCATAATTCTGGAAAACACAAATTTAATTACAATGCAGCATTTTTATGTACCATAATAAGTTTGCTAGTATGTTTTGAATCTATGTTTACATTTATGGATTGATCAAATTTTTGATATCCTTACTTATTCTTTGGTGTTCCATCAGTTTCTGCAAAAGGAGTATTAATACTTTCCACTGCATATTTGATATTTTTCTCTTTTGTATATTTTTGTTTTATAATTTTGAGTCTATATTACTAATGGTATACAAAATTAGCACTATAATATCTTCCTGATAAATAGCATTCTTTAAATCATTATAAAATGTTTCTTTATATTTCTAATCGTATCTTATACTACTCTTCCTACACTCCAAACATATTTGGTTCAAATACTTGCTAACACAATTCAATATATGTTCATGATTAAGACCACATTATCTTTCTAACATAAGAGAAAAATCTCTTCAAAAGTCTCCATACGATTAAGGACAGATTGCATGACATGGAAAACCTTCCATGATGTTCATAAAATTGGCTCTCCAATACTGTCTTCCATTATGTCCATCTGATCTTGTGTAGCCAAATCATTCTGGATATTGAGAAGTTCAGCTCCTAATTCAAAACTATGTGTAATCTTTTAGGTCCAAACACAGGTAATTACAAAAATTAACTTGGTTAGGTTGGTGCAAAAGTTATTGTGATTTTCGCCATTACTTTAAATAAGTTTTGCACTGACCTAAATAGTTCTCATGGGAGAAAGTTTTCCCTCTCACACCAGATTTGGTGCACAGCCAAGGTATTGCAGGCCCTGAAGAGAGTGCAGCCAACATTTCAGGCCTCACTGGCTGGTTATGATCTTATGCATAACTGCTTTCATAACCTGCATTTGGAAATCTCCTTATTGGAGGACCTCGAAAACATTTGGTCTCTACTCTGAATCAGCATTCAGTACTTTTCCATTTCTAGCACTTTCCCCCCTCTCTCCCAATACCTGGGACCACAAAGGAGCAAGAATATTTTGTTCACAGCTCTCTGGGCAGTGAGAATTCTCCATGTGGCATTCCACCTGATCTTCACCCAGTATTACTCCATGGGGAAAAAATAGAACATTTAGAGAGCCAGTGCTTTCTTCTATTTAGCCTCTTGCTTAAACGATCACATTAAGTGATTAAAGATTTTACAATTACTGTTATTTTGGCTTATTGTCTGAATTAGCTACTTTAACACCTAGCAACTCAGCTGCCTTTAGCTTAGCTTTTGATGAATATGTTATTCATCAAATGTTCATCATATGTTCCTTCCTTTTGCTGTTAGAAGTTACTAAAATGTCTATCCACTAAGTTACTTTATCCACATATTTTTATCTTTTAAGAATCACCTCAAATACCAACTCACTTACCAACTCATGTGACTATTTGCCATGTTGACCACTCTTTTAGGTTAGCTTCATATTATTCTTTTTTTAATAATATGTATATACACACATATAAAACATATAATATATAATATATACACATATATATTATAATACATGTGTACATGTAATATATTTATATACATTATATATGTTAGTATGTATAATATATATTAATTATATATTATACATATGTGTAATATATTACACATATTATATACATTAATCAAAATATATAACATATGAAACTAGAATTTATATATATGTACTATATGTAATATTCATTCTAGTTTGCCCAGTCAATTACGTATTGACAAATACAGTACCTCATGCATAGTAGACACTCTCTAAATGTTTGAAGAATGGATGAAGGTAAATTACACAAATATGAAAAATTAATGGTATCTTCTAGGATATTTAAAAATTTGTTTCCATGTATTTAGTGTTAAGACAAATAGAGTCTAATATTATAACATTTAAATTTTGAGTCAATTAAAAAAATGAGTGCAAAATAGATCTTCCATATTTTAGGTCAATTATGTTTTAGGTAATTAAGTTAATGTTTGCAACAATAGTTTCAAGTAAAAGTTTTAATGCATGTGGAAATAGTAAATTTAAAATATAAGATTACTCTGCAATAAGAGCAGAACTTTGGGAGGCCGACATGGGCAGATCACGAGGTCAGGAGTTCGAGACCACCCTGACCAACATGGTGAAACCCCGTCTCTATTAAAAATATAAAAATTAGCCAGACATGGTGGCGTGCTCCTGTAATCCCAGTACTCAGGAGGCTGAGGCAGGAGAATCACTTGAACTTGGGAGGCAGAGGTTGCAGAGAGCCAAGATCGCACCACTGCACTCCAGCCTGGGTGACAGAGCGAGACTGTCTCAAAAAAAATTTTTAAAAAAATGAATAATGAAGGTTAAAAACTTAAATGTACAACCTGAAACTATGAAAATCCTAGAAGAAAACGTAAGAACTCCTTTAGACATTGGCTTAAGCAAAGAATTTACGTTGAAGATCTAACAATGGGTACACACAGGCATAAAGATAGAAATAACAGATACCAGGGACTCCAAAAGGAGAAAAGGTGGGAGGCTGAAAAGTATGAGAAATCATCTATTGGGTATAATGTTTACTATTTGGATGATGGATACAACAGAAGCCCAATCCCCACCATGACACAATATACCAAATGTGCATGTTCCCTCTGAATCCAGAATAAAATAAAATTATTTCTTAAGGGATAGATTCATAATGGCACTGAGAATAGTTAGAATAGCCGTAAAGTGGCTCAGACTTAAAATAATAGTGGATAGTTTGAAGAATACACAAAAACATACGAAATTATACATCCAAATGAATAGGACAAGATGGCAGTGAGGATGAAATAATTTGCCATTTTTAATGGAGACATTTTGGAGAGAGATTTCAAGGTAGGAGTCTACATATCACAGAAGCAAAATGGAGAAATAGGACTGTAACCAGAGTAATTAGTTGCCAGTCTACATAGGATAACTATGCCAGTTGTCTTATTCACTCATTCTATGTCTTTGTACATCCAATATTGGTGACAGCAGTATTGGCTTCCACGCTAATACAGAGATCTGTTCTCTAAGCAACTAAATTATCTGCTTGATAAAATGCTTTTTGGATGAAAATTTCAGAAATTTCAAATAAATATTGTTTACATAATATGAATATTTATCTTATATAACCAGAAGTCTGAGGAAAAGACTAATTACGGACTGGCCTTTTATTCTCCACCTTCTTCAGCACAACACCTCATTTTTATGCTTGTACTCATTGACTCAAAATGGACTCACATGCAAGTACAACACAGAAACAAAGAAAAATCTATTTTTATTGAAAATTTAGCAGAAGCATCTAAGGACTTCTTTTTTAGTTTCCATTGCTAAAATGGGACCAGATATTTGGCTTATATCTAAAACAAAATTGTTGACTAGAACAATATTTAGCTTGGAGAAATTATGATTTATGCCCTGAGTCAAGGCCCCAATTATTTTAAATTAAGAAACACAAACACATAAATAAAAAATGGGGTTGCTTTAACAAAATACTAGATGTTTAATCAACTGTTGGATAAGCAACAATGTTTGCTTTATAGTCTTCTTGGTGCAGATGCTAGCAATCTACAGTTTTAACATCCATAATTTTGTATATGGAAGGTTGACATCATGCCTAGCTGATATATATCCACCCAGTATGATAGTCAATTTGCTTTGTCCGTATACAGTATAAAGAACCACACTCCATGCAAGGGATAGGGAAAAAGAATAAGTAGTCCTTCATACTCTCTACGCTTAATATATAACTTAGTTTTGGCTGGGCGCGGTGGCTCAAGCCTGTAATCCCAGCACTTTGAGAGGATGAGGCGGGCGGATCACGAGGTCAGGAGAACAAGACCATCCTGGCTAACACGGGTGAAACCCCGTCTCTACTAAAATACAAAAAATTAGCTGGGCGTGGTGGCGGGCGCCTGTAGTCTCATAGTGCCAGCTACTCGGGAGGCTGAGGCAGGAGAATGGTGTGAACCCGGGAGAAGGAGCTTGCAGTGAGCCGAGATCACGCCACTGCACTCCAGCCTGGAGGACAGAGCGAGACTCCATCTCAAAAAAAAAAAAAAAATACATACACACACACACACACACACACACACACACACACACACAAACACACAACTTAGTTTCCTCATACATAGATATAAATGGAAGTCAAGGATTAGCAGACATCTGAAGAAACAGATCAGGTACAAGATTAATAAACATGATTCAAGGGATGGAAAAAAATTGGAAGATACGTTCAATGAAAATGTTGAGAAATAAATTAGAAACTTGTTTTTTCTTACAACATGGAAAATAAATACAAAAACACGGGGAAATTGAGAGAACAGTTAAGATAGAGTTCAGGCATCCAACATATTAATCCTGAGATTGCAAGAAACTTCCCTGCTAGTCCAGATTGTTTTCTTTGAAATAGAGGGAAACCTCACTCAAAATTGTTTAACAAATGAAGGCAATATTGGGGTCTCCCATCTGAAAATTATTCTAGGCTTGAATGCTAACATCAGGCATAATATATCCAGAAGGTCCTTTCAAGTCACAAGCTATCCATTATTATTTTTATTTATCTCTGTCTCTAGGCTCTTGCTTTTTTTTTTTTTTTTTAACCTATTTTGGCTTCATTCTAAGCTAAATTCTAAGCTAGACTCTCTTTATGTGGTAGTCTTATGCAAAGTTGTATCAGTTTTGTAATTCTAGCAAAATGAAAGCTTATTGGTCTCAGCGTTTTCAGCAAAAGTCTTAGGGCTGTAAATAATGCAGTTACATTCATAGGTCTGAAGTAATGTGATTATCTCTGAAGTAACACATATGTCCAACATTTGGCACCAGTCTCACTGGTAAGTCTTGGATTCACAAGTCCATATCTCAAGTCAAAATGTGGAGTCAGACTTGCCTCAATACATGGACTGAGAGTGTGGAAGGGTAGATTTCTTAAAGGAAAAATGTGTTGGCATTCAAAGAAGGGTGGGGAAAATGCTGAACAGATTGAAAACAACACATGTCATTAGATGCGTTATGCCAAACAAGATGAGGGAACACACACATGCATACACATAAGTATGCAAACGCTACTATACAAATACTAATACAATTTCATAACAAAGATTAAGGGCATCTCTTAAAAGTTTTAGGAGAGAACAAATAGATTGTTTACAAAGGGGTAAGGATAACATTGAGTTCATATATCTTAAAAGCAACATTGAGTGCTGGACTATATTGTGACAAAGTGTTAAAAATGAGAAAAATTTTTTCAAAGCAAAATGCTATATCTACTAAAGCTACTAAGTATGTTTGAAGAATAAAAACATGCTATCAAAAATTAACAAATTTATCTCTGTACCTTTTCTCTACTTCAGCATATTATTAATAATTTAAAAAATAGAAGTCCCACAATCTCAAAAACCAGGACCAGTAAGCAATGTAATGATGAGAAATCTCATACTAATAATCATAGAATATTTCAAAAAAGAAATTAGTATAACATAGAAAAAAAGTAATTCAAGAACTCTAAGTATCTTAAAAATGAGTGAATATTTTCTTCCAAAGCAAAATTCTGTATCTATAGTAGTAAAGTACAAAGCATTCACTTAAAAGTTAGTCTATTTAAAATATAGATGTCCTTAAGGATATAGTATATATATATTATATCAAAAAGAAAAACCAAGCAATCTGGAAATCAAGGAAAAACATAAACTCTATAATAAATTCGTGGGGCAAATAAAACAAACTAAAAAGTGCAGCAAAATAAACGGAATGTGATATCATTGAAGTTTGTCATTGATATTTGGAACATTCTTTGAGAATCACTGTTTAATATACTTTGGATTTACACCTTCTTTATAGGTAGAGTATATTTCTGTAGTGACTAACGTTTATGTAATTTTAGTAATTCAACTACAGTTTAGTAGTTTTCAATTTTTAAAATTTTTACCTATACTCACCTTTAACTACCAAGAAGACTGTGGATGTTATAAATCCTAATAATACAAAAGCAATGGTTTAAGTGACAAAATATGGAAGTTGTGAGTAGAGGAAAAATTAATGGGAAGAATACAAGCAAAAATTTCTCATGTAATATAATATAGATTCAAGGTCAGATACAGTGGGGCACTCCTGTAATCCTAACACTTCGGGAGGTTGAGGCAGGTGGATTGCCTGAGCTCAGGATTTTGAGACAAGCCTGTGTGATACGATGAAACCCCATCTCTACTAAAATGCAAAAAAATTAGCCGGGCATGACGGTGTGTGCCCGTAATCCCAGCTACTTGGAAGGCTGAGGCAGGAGAATTGCTGGAACCCAGGAGACGGAGGTTGCAGTGAGCCGAGATTGTGCCACTGCACTCCAGCCTGGGTTACAGAGCGAGACTCCATCTCAAAAAAATATAAAAAAACCTCTCTCTCTATATATATATAGAAAATATCCATATTAAAAACTATATATATATCTTGTTCAGAATCTCAGAATTAATATTTCTAAAACCTTCTCAAATAATTCTTATGCCTGACTAGTTTAGGCCCCACACAACTGTGACATTCTATAATAGTCTAATTCAATTTGATGAGTAAAGTGAACTTAAATTGAAGTTGTTTTTCTAACTACATTGCCATGCATGTATGTTCTTCTCTCTTTGTAAATGAAATTGATTTTGTTTTCACTTCCACCCACAGATAATTTTGCTAATTGTTTTTAGCAAACTATTGTATTATTTTATGTTTGGTATTCTTCATGTTGTAAATTAAGTTAAAACCAGAAAATATTTTTTAAAGTTATAAAATTCAATAACACATAGTCACACCAAGAAAATTCCCACAATGGTTCTCATATGTCACAACAGTGGCAAAGCCAACCTGAGCTCTGTTAATGTAAAATTAAGACATTTTGTCATGGTTGGGCCATTTACTTTCAGCTTTTAAGCAAATAAACAGGTAGAAGAAACTTCTCCAACTTCTGAGGCTTTAGTAATGAGCTTCGAGGGTGTCTAAACTCCTCTCCATTTCTCCAAAGTTAATGACCCTATCAGAAATTACTGGGAGGAACGGTGACTGGTCATTAAAACAGTGAGATGCCCTAAGTAAAATGAAACGTAATCGCTTCTCCCATTTAAACAGAAGTAGAAGGACTCTGGTCCTTCAGCCACCGCTGTACGAACAGCATCTTTTCCAGCCATTATCTCTTAATCATTTTTAAAAATTCTGCTTCATGGATCCTTCAGCCCAGCCTCTGCTGATGTTATGCAAAATGCTGGACATCACCAAGGATCTTAGTGTAAGGACCCTTTTGCCTGGTTCTGGCACTTGAGTTAAGAGATTTCTTTTTGCAATGCCCTCTGAGGCTTACTTAAAGGTTTTAATCCAATTTCACAAAGAATTGTGGGTATCTAAAATCTTTAGTTGAGATCACTAGCCAGATGGCTGTGATCAAATAGGGATAATTTGTGTGACCTTCGCTAACATCAGCATTGCTAATGTAGGCAGAAAAAATGTAGCTGATGTCTTTGTTCACCAACTACTTACAGATCTGAGCTCTGGTTGTATCTCTACACAGCACAGTGAACTGGTGATCTCATAGGTTTTTAGATTAAATTAAGTTAATTAATATTAAAATTATATTTTTCTCCAGGTTAAATCAATTACTATACCCCATGATTTATTAATAGGACTTTTATTTACTTAATAAATAGGCTTTAATTAAAGTAATACTTTTTATCATATTGTTTATTTTCATGTTTTTTATAATTCCGGAATGCCATGTTAAATCAAGCTTAGCCTATAGCTGCTTTCTTATATATTTTAAGTTCAGCCTAAAGGTTTCTCTGTACATCATGAACTGAAACCTAAATAGATGTGTAAACAGACTGTAGCCTACTCTATATTTTGTTTGTATAAATATTTTTTCAAACATTTACGAATTTTGTCCAAAAAGCACAGAAGCACACTTACCTAAAGCATATTCATTCTTTTTAAAATTATATTAAAGTGTAATACCCCTAGCATCACATTGATACTATTTGTAATATATTGTGGAAATATATGTTATGTTTGATAAATTAGTTCAGCTTAAAAATTATGACTTTGACTTAAAAGAGAAATTAAAAATACATAAGTACAATGTAATCTATCAAAGACAGATTCAAAAATTTAGTTCTGAATTTTCAATAGAGTACCCAATATCCATGTAAAACTGTTGAGCACTTGAAATGTAGTTAGTCCAAACTGAAATATTTGTAAGTGTAAAAATTCACATTACATTTCAAAAACTTAGTAAAAAAACATAACTTTTTGTCTTGATTACATGATAAAATGGTAATATTTGTGGTATACTAATAACATTTGGATATATTAAATATGTTATATTGTTAAAATTAATAATACTTGTTTCTTTTCATTTTTAATGTGGTTGCCAGACAACTTAAAATTACATATGTGACTTGTTTTGTGTTGGTTTAACACCTTGACAAATTTAATTTTGTCTTTAACTTCAATGTGCATGATTTATTTGGTCTATGACTATAACCCTAGGGTTAAAGTATAGGTTACAAAAGGAGTAGTAAATTACTGACTCAGAATCATTTTCCACAAGTGAAATCAACAGAAATATTTTTATATTGCCAATACTCAAGCATTGTTGACCTACAAAAACAGTTAATTCATGTACCTCAGTTTTTTCATCCTTGATCTTATTTCTTAGATTTAAAAGCTCATTGGAGTATGACTTGTTACACTAAATAACCATGACTATCTCCTTACCTCTAGCATCCAATCTAATTACTTCTGTATCAGTACTCAAAATTCCTATTTTTATAAGAGGTTTATTTGTGTATTAGTCTGTTTTATGCTGCTAATAAAGACATACTTGAGACTGGGTAATTTATAAAGGGAAAAGGTTTAATTGACTCACAGTTCAGCAGGGTTGGGTAAGTCTCAGTAAACTTACAGTTATGGCAGAAGGGGAAGCAAACACGTTCTTCTTTACATGGTGGCAGCAAGGAGAAGTGTACAGTGAAGAAGGGGAAAAATCCATTATAAACCTATGAGATCTCATGAGAACTAACCGGAGAACAGCATGAAGGTAACCACCCCTATGATTCAATTACCTCCCACTGGGTCCCTCCCAGGACAAATGAGGATTATGGGCACTACAGTTCAAGATGAGATTTGCATGGGGATACAGCCAAACCATACCAATTTGTGGGAATATATTGGCTTTGTCAGAGCTTCTTTAAATTAAAAATATATATATATACACACAAATATATATATATATGTAATACCTAGCCTGTCTGGTTCTCTCTGTAGTTCTTCTGAAGTCCAGTTTCATAGCTAGCAGCAAAGCCCCTCTTAACAGGCTGAGAACATTGGGAATATTAAAACATACACCGTTGACACCCTTTGATTTAATGGGGAGAAGAGTTAATCTCGACTCCTTTACTGAGTGTCCCAGAAGCTGATAATAGGGAGAGAGAATGGGAAACTTAAAAGGAAAATTGTAACTGAAGAAGTGAGGCTGTCTGGATCAGAAAGATCAGGCTAAACAGCAAAATTAAAGGATATTTCTGATACAATGTGAGCCTATGCCCAATTGTTCTTTGATCTGACTCCCATCAAATAGGTGGTATGAACTAAAGAATTATTTCATTCTTGGCCCAAGAATTTCTCTGAAAAAGCCGAGGAAGAGACAACAAGGAGTGTCCATGATGAAGTTGAGAATGAAAAAGAACATAGAGGTCAATAGAGCAGATAAGCCCAGGTACTGCACAGCCATTGACAATGAGCATTGCAGGATGCTGGCTGGCAAACAAAATGAACATGAGAGCAGAAAAAAATATTAAGTTACAGGTAACAGGTCTCATTATGAGTAATAATTCCCCATCCCCAGGGATTGCTAGAGAAACTCTTTAGGGAAGATAATTATAAAAACAGCCTACGTTTCCAAAGGACGCTAGAAACACCTTGAAGTCTCATCAAGTCAGGACATACAGAACTTTTCTGAGATACTGTTGTAAATATGGCAATTGATTGTACTCTCTGGTGCTTTAAACCAGAGAATAGACAGCACGTTAACAAAAGTTGCATTCTTATTCAGCTTTCCCTACTCACAGATTTACATTCTCTCCTGAAGTTTAATTCATAGTGTCTATACTTTGGGGTCAAGCCATTCTGGTCAAATTTAGGACCCATCAGAGTCCTCTTTGATTATAATTCATATAAAAGACCTCTGTAAATTTCAGTAGTGTGTGTCTTGTCATATAAGTTCAGGTTTCCCTCAGGTTTATCTTTTATATGGAGACACTGTGATATATAGTTTAGATTTTAAGATAATTTTTCTATTATTTTCCAATGCCTGTGTTGAAAAATTCTCCTTAGATCAGCTGGCCATATCTGTTTCTCATAGGTTTTAAGTGACTTGTCTTAATGACTTCTTATTCTGTGATAAAACAGCCCAGTGGAGCCGCTCAGTGGAGGACGGTCCTAGGAATAGAATTCCACTGAAATTATTCTTTGGTCTAATCTAATAGCTTGGCTTGTTTCCTGTGAGAGATACACGCACTTACTTATATAGACCTTTTGTCCTCTGATCTTTGAAAAATCACCTGATTGAGCCCCTGTCATTTTCCCGCACCCTGCTAGAGGTCAAGGATAGAGTGGTAAATAGAATTTGAAAATGATATATATTAAAATGAAATTATTTAACTCCCAGTAGTAATTAGTAATTAACCTTTGCCTATAACTATGGAAATTAAAAATATAACCATTTTGTAATGCTCATTTGTTCACTGCTCATGTTGCCACATTCTAGTTTCCAATGACATGTGTCCAGATGATTATGTGGGCTTCTTGATTTCTAGCTGAAATATGTTAAACCAGGACTCCTCTTTCTTCTTCTCTTCCTCTTGTTCATTCAGAGTGGATAGTTTGAAATGTACCATTTTGGAGGAAAAGCAAAATAATGTGATATGTGTTGTCTACTAACTCATTTCTTCATTCAATACACAATTAAGTGAAGACTATTCACCTGAACTTGATAGTCATTAATTATAACTGTGACATGTTAATTAATAGGGCCATCTTAAACACCTCTTTTTCTTCAAAATCAATTATATTGATATGACTCTCTTCACATCTTTCTCATTTATGTGTCTTTCTAGTGAGACTGCCTAGAATGCCTTGTTCCTGCCACGATTTACTTTCCTTAAGGATACAGAACTTTTGATCTTAAATGGACATGTCAATAGAGTGGTAAGAAGGGGAATAGACATCAAGAAGTTACTAAACTGGAAAGAGAGACCATCTGATAGTGTTAGCAGTAGTGAAGATGGGCAAAGTGCTGAAACATGTTTAGAACATAGCTTTGCAAAGGCTATCGTTTTGAAAAGATATATAGGATGAAGAAAAGTGAATCTAAAATGGCTTGTTTAATGTGTAAGTGCTTTGCAAATTGTGTGTGTGTGTGAAAAAGTGTTCTAAACATTTTTTGCACGGTCTCCTGTGAAGTGCCATTGGATTAGTTGCAAATATGTGTGATTATTAACCTGTTTGCGGCCATAAAGAAACATAACACAAGTATTGGATGGAGAAATAAAATAGTTGAGAACAAAATAACTAAAGCCACCTATTCACTTATTTCTTGAAATTTGAACTAATGATGGTTATTGTTTATTTTGCAGAGCCAGATACTCTGAAATGCTTTACATGCATTATATAGATTAGCATTAATGCTAACCCTATAAATTAGGCACTATTATTTTTCCCTTGTTACAGATGATAAAACTAAAGCCTGGGTAGTTTAGCAATTTGTCCATATAATTTCACAGTGAGAATTAGAATAAACCTGAATATTATGGACTATAGACTGGACTAGTAATATAGAAACTCAATGTTTCTATTATTAAATAGGCTGAAATGTTCCTTAAGGGCAGAGACTTTATCCTTTTGTCTTGGAGTACATTAACAATTCACCATGAATTTTATTTTTTATATTGACTTCAAAATTTTTTATTTCTGGGGTTATTTTTTACTTTGATATTTGCGGCAATCTAATTTTATATGTAGAAATTATACTACTTAACTTTATCTGTGTTAACAGATTATTTTTTATTCCCTGTGTGGGAATTGCAAACGAGTTGATATTCTACACCAATAAAATAATTTTAATGAAGGCTGATAATTCTTCTTAAAAATCGCCTAATGTAAAGCTTAGATTTTTGATAACTTCATATCAATCTCATTAGAAGAATTGGAGTATAACGACCTCAAATCATTTCCTTCCAAAGTCATTTTTCAGTTACATCATGATTTTTATGTTTGACCATCCTATATTATTTCCAGAAAGGGGCAATTTGGGGACGAATCTGAAATAGCATGCAAGTCTCGTCATAAACTTTTTAGTGACAAAAATGTAATATTTTAAAAATAAGCATAACTAGTCAACAATTTTCAAATATTTGTTTATTGTATATTTGACTTTTGAAAACTTAAAATGAAAATAACTATAGATCTCTGCAATGTGTTCAAGAATTATATATTTTAATATCATTTTAAAGAACTTCTTCTGGTTTTAAATAAGTCTTCTAGTATAGTGCTTTTCAAGCTTTGGCCTACATCAGCATCATCTGGAAGCCTTCTTAAAATGCTGACTCCTGGATCCTACTCTGAGACACTCTCTGATTCAGGGTGTCTGAGGTGGTGTCCATGACTTTTCCTTTGTAACAGTGTCCTAGGTGATACTGCTTCTTTTTTGTGGATCACACTTTAAGGAGCTTTGCTATAGTCCACATTTAAGACTATTGAGATACCAATGTGAAATGGAGCTAAAGCAAGAAATTAATCAAAACATAAAAAAGAGCTAGATCTCTTTCCAGCCTCAATACTTCTTGTTTTGTTTATTTGTTCAATCTCCAAGCTAAAAGCCTCCCTTGAAAACAGAAAAACAAAACCAAAAGCAAAACATTTCGCTTGTATAGTTTGAATAGCAAAAGACAAGCTCCATAAGTGTCTTTGCTGGAAAGTACATCCAATCAGCCTGCAGACAGAAGCTCATCTGACCTATGTGATTTACCTTTTAAATCTTATTCCATTTTGGCCATCCTTTTCTCATTATATCCAAAACACACTAATAGTGTATACTAAAATTAGAAGCTATAATAGAAAAATTGCAAAGACAGGCCATGAGAACTAGCAATATTAAAATTGTAATTTTAATTCCAGTGGGAGCCATATATGAAAAGACTTATTTTAATTTAATCCCCAGTTAGGGGTCCAGTTTTAAGAGTAAAAAAGAAACACTGAAATCGGCTCTCTATAATGTAGATTTTTAATGTAGTTAGATCATAAGGTAATAACATTTTGCAAGTTTCTCAAAACTTAGGCTCCCACACAGGTTTAATTGCTATAAGCCATTAGTTGAGAACATTTTTATCTGAGAAATATATATTAAACAAAAATATGAATGGAAACAACTGTTTCAAATATCTTGAACTGTGAAATTTTCATGTAAAATATTTTTTATGAAAAGAAAGAGAAGATTAGGCTCTAATATAAGTTTTGAATTTCTCAAATTTCTCATTTGTTTTTTAGTATATCGGTGGGAACACAATATCCTGAAGATAAAAAGGAAAACGATTTTATCAAAATTCCCTTTTTGCAATTTTTTTAAAGGAGACCAAGTCAACCCAGATAGCATGATGAAAACTGAAACTAAAGTAGATAGGTCTGCTGTTTTTCTCTATTTGCCACCATTCTAGCTTCATTCTCCACCCTTTTCTATGTTGCTCTCAGCCCAAGAACCCTGAGCACCAAAGGCTCCCTTGACAGCTAGCTTTGATTGGGTTTGGATAATGAAAGCATGGGCAATTTAAAGGAGGGGAGAGAAACTAAGATATTTCTTCCCTGCTCCCTGCATGTTATCATATTTATCACTGACAATCATTGCATACCTCTGTGACAATAACTTCACTAGTACTTATCCAAGATTCTAGCTTTAATGAACATGAGTATCTATTTCCCCCTTTTCCCTCCATGCCCCTCAAGATGGTGACTGTTTCTTTGTAGTTGTTCTCTGGATATTTCAACATCTATTGCTTCATCTTTTAACCCAAAGCCATTCTGTGTATTGCAGGACATTTAGCAACCCTCCTCGCCCTTATCAGAAACAAGTAGCACCCCTCCCCAGTTAAAATAACAAAAAAATGTCTGCAGATTTTACCAAATGTGCCTTGGGGTAAAAATTCTACCTTCTCCCCTAAACCAGCTGAGAACCATTGCCATTAACCATCTCACGGTCAATAAGTATATTTAAATAATTGGAGTAGAATTTTGACTCATATAACAGAAAGTTATTCTTTTTTAAGATAGGAAAAATGTCAATAATGTTAGAAAAGTAAATCATGGTTAATTAAATCAGTATGGTAAGATTACAATAGACCATGAACAATCTTTAATCTTTACAAATGTATAGAAATAGTTTTTAATGATATAACTATGTAATTTTCTTAATAAAACAATATTTTTTTAAATTAAAACATTATCTAAATAATAAATAACATTCCCAAAATGAATATATTACAAAACGATCAGAATTGTATTATATGAAATAATGTAAATTATTCTAAAGAATTTTAAGAATAGGCAACTAGCCCAAAGCATATAAGACAGCCATTATTAACATTATTTTTTTACTGTGGAAAATAAATTGTGTTAAAACTTTTGGAAAACATTTTTAAAAATATCATAAAGTGGTCACTATTAATACTGTTCACCAAGCAATTTCGGGTCTCAACTTATTGAGCATAAGGCATGATTGCACTTATCTGCCCCAATGAACTTAAGCCTCCACATGTAGCTTTCTTTACCCAATCAAATATGCGCAATATCATTTTTTTCTTTTACTTTTTAGAATTATATTCTGTAATTGGCTCTCGTACTTAAACACAATGATAGTAGTTATTGGTCAATCACACATATAATGACAAATAACATCAGTTAGTCATAATTACTTAGTTCAGTTCAAATATATTTCATTTTTTATGCCCATCCTGAAATTTCAAGTTAGTGAAAACAAAGTTAGCTTCTTGTTAATTCGTCCTTCATGATGAAGGTAGGGATAAAGCACTGCATATAATTATAAACATCTTAGATTAGATTTAATATCATATTAATTCACAGGGAAATATATTTAATCGCTTAAATAAATTAAAAGCTAATATTTGTATCATATAATTCTTAGTGCTTTAAGAAGAGTAAACTACTTTGCAATTAATTCTCTCTAAAATTATAAAATAATCCTTCAATTATTAGCTCATCTACTCTTAACCCCTGAGAATTGTGGAAACTGGAAGTCTGCTAATTGTAACATATCTGAATTTCAACTCCATATCATTTAAATCCCCATCCAGTGATTTCCTAATATTATTTCCTTTCTAATGCCATTAATTTGTAGATCATAAAATATGGTAGAATATGTAGAGTATCACGTACTGTTGTTCTCTAGCTGGTAGAAGTAATAAAAGAAAAAAACTAATATTTAAAAGTATCTGCAATATGCCAGGAAACATGAATGGGTTATTCCATGTGCAAAATCATTTAATCCTCGCATCTATACTATAGGTGTTTGTACTATACTATTGCTGTTTATGTGGTATTTAAAATTACAGATGGAGCAAACTCAGCTATATTGCTGTAGTTCCCAAATCACTACTCAGATGTACAAACAGCAGCTGCTCTTGAAACAGCTTTTCCTTCATAGAAGGACTAGTGTAGTAGTAAAAACCATAGTCTCTTACAGTAGCTTTGAGTGTCGAAACGTAGGGAGAAGTCAGCAAGCAGAAAAGAGAGAAGGTTAGGTTTTCTTTTGGCCGTAGATTTTTCCAGCTCAAGGACACGCACGTGGAATACGTAGGGAAATCATTTTGGTTCTAGTTTAGTGAGTCTTTGTTTCATTGGCATGAAGTTGGACAGGAGAATGATAGCATGTCTCAAAAGGATATTTACAGGGAAATGTGAACTCTATGGAGGCAGGATTTTTAGCTATGGAATTTGCTTAAATAAATTTCAAGTTATCCTGTTCAAAGCATCATCCTCAAAATATTGGTTATAGCTTAGTGAAGTGCGTGTTGTTGGAAAAATCAATAAATAAATGACAATCAGATGCACATTTGGAAAACAGAATGAGAATGTGAGAATGAAAATTAGAGGAAAAGATACTGGAAGAAGTGACAAAACACATGCAGTTATTATATTATAATTGTGAAATTTACCTCAGTCGTAGCCCATTATTTTTGTCTAATAAAAATTATAGTGTTCCCATAAAGATATAATTGTGTAAGTACTTGATGTGCAATGATTGAGGGAAACTTGTGCAGCTCTATTTGGGATACTATTATATTGTAATACTATTGTCATACAAAATACACATTGTCATAAGAGTAATGCCAATCTCCATGCTAGAAGCAGTCCAGTTACAGTCACTGTTGTGGCTATAGTCAAGAACTTAGCACATACGAGTTTCAAAAACCAGCTTTCTGGAATACGATTTATAAAACATTACTTTCTGCATTCCCATATTTGTGTGTGTGTATGCATGTGTGTGTATCCAGTTATAGTCACTGTTGTGGCTATAGTCAAGAATTTAGCACATATGAGTTTCAAAAACCAGCTGTCCAGAATATGATTTGTAAAATCTTACTTTCTGCATTTGCATATTTGTGTGTGTGTGTATGTGTGTGTGTGTGTGTGTGTGTGTGTGTGTGATTAGATGAGATGTTAAAAACTCTTTAAACTTCAAAGCAGATATTTGGTTTATTACTTTTATCGTTTCTGAGCCATAATATCATATTGGTTGAAAATTAGGATTGGAGAATTATGCTTATTTTGGAAATTAATTATTCTGTGTCAGCTTTCACTACTGTTTCTCCTCCCCTCCATTGACTTCAGTCACAAACAAGTCTTTTAAAATACTCTGCCACATTATAGCAGAATAGCCTGGTGAGTGAGGAGCTAGGAGCAGTAACAGAAACCATTAAACCTTACACAAATGATGCCAGTAAGGTTTGCCACAGCAGCAGTGCTGCATTCAATTATAAATAATAACACAACTACAAGTGCATGCCCTGGGCTTTCAGCTGATTAAATATCATAACTATGCAGGCTCCAGTACAGAGGCATGAAAGAAAGATTTTCAGATTTTACCTAGAAACTGAAACTCTATCACTTAAGTGTTAATTGGTGTTACATTGTGCAACAACGCTGTGAACTGAAAAGGCAAGGCAAGGACTCCCTGCTGTAATGTTAAAATGGTATGCATCCATTATCAGCTTGCTAAATTATCAGTAGTTTGTACACCATCTCATCTAGTTGAAATAATGCAGGGGAACAGTAGGGGGTGAATGGGACAAATCTGCAAACTGACAAATAGATTCAGTTCATGAAGATCTGAATTGCATCTTACTATCACATATCCTACATTTTCTGGCTATAAATGATTAATAAGAGAAGCAACTTAAATGAGACTTGGTCACCAATGTTAGAGGTAATGTCATATAGATGTGAGCTTTTGTAATTAAAAGGCATATGTAATATTTTGTACTATGCACATAATATACACAAATAAAAGTAAATATTCAATGTTGTCAATACTTTTTTTTCAAGACAGAGTCTTGCTCTGTAACCTAGGCTGGTGTGCAGCTCACTGCAACCTCTGCCTCCCGGATTCAAGCAATTCTCCTGCCTCAGCCTCCCTAGTAGCTGGGATTACAGGCGCCCGCCACCACACCCAGCTAATTTTTGTAGTTTTAGTAGAGATGGGGTTTCTCCATATTGGCCAGGCTGGCCTCAAACTCCTGACCTCGTAATCTGCCTTAGCCTCCCAAAGTGTTGGGATTACAGGTGTGAGCCACAGCGCCCGGCCTCAGTGTTGTCAATATTTATATTGAGTTGTAATGTCAGATTCCTGGGGATTGTTCTGACCAAAACAAAACAAAAAGGAGTCATAATCATTGAAATATTCATAACTCATTTTACTCTTAGCAATGGCATGAGGTAAATCATTGTCTCCAATTTACACAAGAGGAAAATGCCATTCAAGAGTTGATGTCAAGAGAGGTATAGAATAAGCCAAGATGCCCATTTCTTTTTTTTTTTTTTTTTTTTTTTTTTTTTCTTTTTTTGAGACGGAGTCTCGCTCTGTCGCCCAGGCCGGACTGCGGACTGCAGTGGCGCAATCTCGGCTCACTGCAAGCTCCGCTTCCCGGGTTCACGCCATTCTCCTGCCTCAGCCTCCCGAGTAGCTGGGACTACAGGCGCCCCCCACCGCGCCCGGCTAATTTTTTGTATTTTTAGTAGAGACGGGGTTTCACCTTGTTAGCCAGGATGGTCTCGATCTCCTGACCTCATGATCCACCCGCCTCGGCCTCCCAAAGTGCTGGGATTACAGGCGTGAGCCACCGCGCCCGGCCAAGATGCCCATTTCTAATTCCCAATTTTGATCTCTTTGTACTGGAGAATGACATTATTTACAAATACGTCAAAATTGAATGTAGTGGTAAAATAGGTTTTTCTCTTTTTTCAAATTTTCATATTTTGTTAAATTTGTACGTATTTTATTATATGGAAGAAGCCCCATAATCCTTCAGGGACTTATTTCATAAAAATATAGGTAACTAAAGTACTTGATTATCTGAATATTTTTTTACCAATCTACCTTTATTGATTCAGAATAAACAGTTTGTTGGTAGTCATTAATGTTTTTAGTTAGGCACATGAAAAATTATTGGCTGTGATTGGTAAACTCTAAGTTGTACATACATCTGTATGTGACCTTTCACCTGATAGATTTATTAAGAATTGTATAGCATTTTTATTGTATGTATCCTAGTGTATGGGGGAGTAATTTGTGTTAAATTATAGTGTTTTTTAAATCAAAAATAATAAGACTGTCCTAAGATTTGATAAAACCTAGAATTGTACTGGTACAATTCTGGTAGCCATCAGCAATATATGGCTACATAAATTTATTAAAAATTATGCAAAATTTATAATTCAGTTCCTTAGTCTCACTAGCTACTTACACACTGTCTAGCTGCAAGTGGCTAGTTGCTACCAAGCTAAACATTTTCGTTGTTGCAGAAACTCTATCGGACAGTGCTATTTTAGAACATAAAGAGCTCATAAGACACTGGGTTGTTTATATAATTTTTCAGATAAGATATACTAGGAATACTAAATATATAATATTCATTTTAAATATAATATTTATGACTCACATATTGCAACTATCATACAGGAAGGTTAAAATAACTTAATATGGTAAAGAATGGAGTGACAGGAACAATACAGAAGATGTGTATGAGAAATTCCTTTTACAGATTACAAGCAGTAACAATGCAGCTGAAAAGTGAATCACTGAATTTGAAGACAGGTCCATAGATATTATCCAAACTGAAACCCAAGGAGAAATCAAAGAGTAAAAATCATCACTAGTCATTATCATAATCATCCAGACAATATAGCAGAATATCAATCTAATATCTGTGATTAGAATCTTAGAAAGATAGAAGAATAAAATAGGTCAGAAGAAATATTTGAAGTAATGTCTGAGAGTATTCAGAAAGTTATAAAAGCCAATAATCCACAGTTTCAATTAGTTCAGAGATATCTAAGTGGCAAAAAAAAAAAACAAAAACAAAAACAAAAAAACAAATGAATGCACAAACAAATAAAGAAAGACATAGCACCAGAGGGTAGATAGCTTTGCAGAGAAGGAATTCCAGAAATCTACAGAGGGGTCCTCTCGAGTGATTAGAAGAATGCTAATTAGTGAGTACATTGATGGAACTACCCAAGGCCAAGGAAATAACTATCTGAAAAATTTAGGAAAACAGAGTCTGACACTGACAAAGGGGAGGAAATAGTGCCTATTCCCACCAGGCAGGGTGGAATATCTCAAAATTCCTGGAGCAAGTATGGAGTACACAGAAACATCTTGATTCAGTACTAGGAAATATTTAACCCTATACTAAACACTAACCTAACACTGATGAACCTTAAAAGACTATTATATTAGTCCATTTTCATGCTACTGATACAAATATACATGAAACTGGGCAACTTACAATAGAAGGAGGTTAAATTGGACTCACAGTTCCATGTGGCTGAGGAGGCCTCGCAATCATGGTGGAAGGCAAGGAGGAGCAAGTCACATCTTACATGGATGGCAGCAGACAAAAAGAGAGAGCTTGTGCAGGGAAACTACCCCTTGTAATACAGTGTGATCTCATGAGTCTCATTCCCTATCACAAGACCAACAGGGAAAGACCTGCCCTCATAATTCAATTACCTTCCACTGTGTTCCTCCCACAATATGTGGGAATTCAAGATGAGATTTGGATGAGAACACAGCCAAACTATATCATTCCACCCCTGGCACCTCCCAAATCTCATGTCCTCACATTTCAAAACCAATCGCACCTTCCAAGCAGTCCCCCAATGTCTTAACTCATTTCAGCATTAACTCAAAATTCTACAGTCCAAAGTCTCATCTGAGAAAATGCAACTTCCCCTCCACCTATGAGCCTGTAAAATCAAAAGCAAGTTAGTTAATTCATAGATACAATGGGGGTAGAGGCATTTGGTAAATATAGCTGTTCTAAATAAGAGAAATTGGCCAAAACAAAGGGGCTACAGGCCCCATGCAAGTCTGAAATCAAGCAGGGCAGTCAAATCTTAAAGCTTCAAAATGATCTCCTTTACTCCATGTCTCACATTCAGGTCATACTCATACAAGAGGTGGGTTTCCATGGTCTTGGGCAGCTCTGCCCTTGTGACTTTGCAGGTTACAGCCTCCCTCCCAGCTGCTTTCACTGGCTGACAGTGAGTGTCTGCAGCTTTTCTAGGCAAAAGGTGCAAGCTGTCAGTGGATCTACCATTCTGGAGTCTGGAGAACGGTGGCCCTCTTCTCACAGCTCCACTAGGGGGTGCCCAAGTAGGGACTCTGTGTGGGGACTCTGACCCCACATTTTCTTTCCATATGCCCTAGCAGAGATTCTCCATGAGAGCCCCACCTCTGCAGTAAATGTCTGCCTGAACATCCAGGCATTTCCATACATCCTCTGAAATCTAGGCGGAGGTTCCCAAACCTCAATTCTTGACTTCTGTGCACCTGAAGGCTCAACACCACTTGGAAGCTGCCAAAGCTTGGGGCTTGCACTGTCTGAAGCCACAGCCTGAGCTGCACCTTGGCCCCTTTTAGTCAAGGCTTAAGCAGCTGGGACACAGGGCACCAAGTCCTGACACTGCACATAGCATGGGGACTCTGGGCCCGGCCCACGAAACCATGTTTTCCTCCTAGGCCTCCAGGCCTGTGATGGGAGGGGCTTCCAGGAAGATTGCTGTCATATCTTGGAGACATTTACCCCATTGTCTTGGGGATTAACATTCAGGTTCTTGTTACTTATGCAAATTTCTGCAGGGAACTTGAATTTCTTCTCAGAAAATGGGATTTTCTTTTCTCTCACAATAGTGAGGCTGCAAATTTTCTGAACTTTTATGCTCTCCTTCCCTTATAAAACTGAATGCCTTTAACAGAACCCAAGTGACCTCTTGAATGCTTTGCTGCTTAGAAATTTCTTCCACCAGATTCCCCAAATCATCTCTCTCAAGTGCAAAATTCCACAAATCTCCAGGCAGAGGCAAAATGCCACCAGTCTCTTTGCTAAAATATAGCAAGAGTCACCTTTGCTCCAATTCCCAACAAGTTCATATCACTATCATCATTTTTGTCAAAGCCATTCAATAAGTCTCTAGGAAGTTCCAAATTTTCCCACATTTTCCTTTCTTCTTCTGAGCCCTCTGAAGTGCTCCCATTTCTGCCTGTTACCCAGTTCCAAAGTTGCTTCCATATTTTCAGGTATCTTGTCAGCAACACCCCACTCTACTGTTACCAATTTACTGTATTATTTCGTTTTCATGCTGCTAAGAAATACATACCCAAAACTGGGCAATTTGCAAAACAAAGAGGTTTAATTGGACTCACCGTTCCAAATCACTGAGGAGGCCATGCAATCATGGTGGAAGGCAAGGAAGAGCAAGTCACATCTTACATGGATGGCAGCAGGAAAAAGAGAGCGCTTGTGCAGGGAAACTCTCCCTTATAATACCATGAGATCTCATGAGACTTATTAGCTATCATGAGTACAGCATGGGAAAGACCTGTCCGCATGATTCAATTACCTTCCACCGGGTTCCTCACACAACATGTGGGAATTCCTGATGAGATTTGGTTGGGGACACAGCCGAACCATATCAACCATTCATGTTTTCATGAAGGGATTAGAGTATCACCAAGTAACGTAACTACACCACAAAACAACACTGAACAATATTTACAGGAATATAAATATTTGCACCCAATTTGTAAAATTTACAATGCCTGTCATCCAATAAAATGTTACAAGACATGCACAAATGCTGATAAAATGAATCCATGAATAGGAAAAAAAAGTCAGTCAAGTGAAGTAACTCAGGAATGGAAAACCAAACATCGTATGTTCTCACTTATAAGTGGGAGCTAAGCTATGAGGATGCAAAGGCATAAGACTGACACAATGGACTTTGAGGTCTCAGGGAGAAAGAATGGAAAGGGGGTGACAGATGAAAGATTACAAATAGGGTGCTATGTATACTGCTTAAGTGACGGGTGCACCAAAATCTCACAAATCCCCACTAAAGAACTTACTCATGTAACCAAACACCACCTGTTCCCCAACAACCTATGGAAATTGAAAAAAAAAAAAAAACAAAACTGATCCTGAATTGTCAAAGGTACTAGTAGGACATTAAAATTTTTCTTATTTTCAGAGTTCTGTAGAAGCATACACTGTAAAAAGATGCAAATATAACTTCTAGGGATGAAAGTACAATATATGCGAGGAAATATACACTAGATTAAATTAACATCAGTTTAAACATTGCAAAAAGAAAACATTAGCTAATTTGAAGACATAGGAATTATTAAAAGTACAACATAAAATAAAAATAACAAAGAGAAACAGTGAGCTATGAAACAACTATATAAGTGCTAATAATATACATGTAATTGAAGTCTCCAAAAGGAGGCCAGAAAAAATATGAAGAAATAATGACTGTTTTTCAAATATGAAAGTACTATAAATCCACAAATCTAGGATGTTCAGCAAAGCTCAAGTACAAAAATCCTGAATAAAATGACACTTAAGCACATTATCCTCAAATCATTCAAAACCAATGATAAAGGAAAAATCTTAAAGACAGACAGAAAAAAGACACATTACATACAAGGAGAAGAAAAAGATAAGATTGATAGTAGATTGCTCATTGTAAACAATCAAGCAAGAAAATACATTCTTTTAGGGTACTAAAAGGAGAAAAAAGACTACATAGAATTCTATATGGAATAAAAATATATTTCAAAAAGGAGGACAGAATAAAGACTTACGTGGCTATACAAAAACAAATAATTTCTTCTCAACAGGCCCACACTAAAGGAATTGTTAAATAAATTTCATTAGGAAGAAATAAAATGAAATTAAAATCTAAAAAAAGGAACAGTATGTACCAGGGCTTTTTTGGGGTTTCCCATCTGTGGTATAAATGGGGCACATGCCATGGAGACCCTGTCTGCCCCAGGCAGCTTTCTAAGCCTTGGGAAAACTGGTTTTCAATGATCCTAGGTTTTTGTTGTCTCTTGATGTCTATTTGTCAAAAATAAATTTACTTCAAGTAACTTGTTGCATGTGAAAAATAAATTTACTTCAAGTAACTTGTTGCATGTGAGTGTGTTCAGTCTCACCACACTCAGACAAGTTGGCAACCACTACAAAGTGAATGTGAACCTGCCTCACAAGGGGGTGCACATTTTTGTGGGGTCTTCCTCCAGTAACCACACCTTGCTCCCAAGGTGAAGATTTGAGAAAGATGTCCTCATGGCTCTGGCAGGAGAAGGGGATCAGTCAGTAATCATTAGTTTTCAGAGATTTTTCTCTAATAAAAGGCCTACTCTCCAAGGAGAAACGTGTTTCCTGAGATTTATCTCAGCTGGCAGATCATTTCTCCCACTTCAGTCCTTTCTGACTTTCATGGTTTCCCTAAGGGGAGAAGAGTATACATAATCAACAGGGGTCAGGGCTTCAGCAAAATGGATTGGGAATGCTGCAACCAAGGGAAGAAATTAAAAGATGCTTGCAAAGGTCACAGCCTAGAGACACAGACCATTAAGAGAGTAAATTTAACCTTACCATTGTAGAACTTTTTTTCTTCCTCACACCTTACTATCATGCCATTGAGTATCTACTATAACAGTGGGTTACAGCTGAAAGCGATGTAGATACAGCCTGCAAGAAAAGTACTTAAGTAAGATTAAGGTCAAGAGAGAACAGAAACAAGGACACTAGAGGAATTTGAAGAAAATGGCACATATAGCTACAACAAACATTAAAGATAGTCAATTTTTAGTCATACTAACACAAATTCCCACACTAAACACCTAAACCTAATTTTGTGTGTGTGTGTATGTGTATGTGTGTGTATGTATGCATGTGTAAAAGAGTGTTATTCATCTCAGCCTTCTGGATTTGTATTTTATTAATCTGCCTGTTACTCACTTTGTAAAGTTTTTGTCTATTATTAATATCACTTTTTGTCTGTTATTATAGCACCTAAATGCCCAAAACTTGATTCTACATAAAGAAAAAAAGGAATTGTAGAAAAAAAAGACAATTGAAGAAAAAATACGTAAAGACAATATGTAATCTTTTATTTTTCTTATTTTTAATCTAAATAATAACTATTTGTTTACAGAAATGTTAGCAAGAAAGTTTTAGGTTATTTGAGTTTCTATTACTGGGATAAACTTTGAGGATTTCAACAACAACAAAATAAAACTACAAAAAAATGGAAAGGCAAAATAAAGAAACAAAATCTCCTCTGTCTGAAGAGCTAAAGCCACCATATTCAGATTCAGATATGACAATGATGTTGAAATCTTTAAACGGTGAATTTGAAATAACTATGATTAATACACTTAGGGATATAATGGAAAAAACATACAACATGAAAGAACAGATGGTTAAGGAGACATATGCAGACTATAAGAAGAAATCTAAATGAAGTGATAGAAATTAAGTACTGTAACAGGAATAAAAAATGACTTTGGTGAACTTACCAGTAGACTGGATACACTTGAGGAAAAAGTAGTGAGTTTGAACATAGGTTTATAGAAACTTCAAAAAATAAAATGCAAAGAGAAAAAACTAAACAGAACATCTAAGAACTGTAGGATAATTTCAAGATATGTAATGTATTTGTAATTGTAATACCAGAAAAAGAGAGAGATAATGAAGCAGAAAAAATATGTGAAGTAATAATAGGCAAACCTTTCCCAAGTGAATAACAGACAATAAACACAGATTCAGAAGGCTGAGATGAATAATTAACACACACACACACACACACACACACACACACACCACATTCAAACTGCAGAAAACCAAAGACAACAAAAAATCTTAAAGAAATCAGAGGGAAGGACAGAACAAAACAGATTACCTTACTTGTGGAGGCATAAGAATAAGAATTACAGTGACCTTTTCATCAGAAATGAGAGGAGTAGGTATAGTATATAGTGAAGCATTTAAAGAGGTGAAAGAAAAACATGGCCAATCTAGAATTCCACATCAGCCAAAATTATCCTTCAAAATGAAGAACAAATAAAGATTTTCTCAGATAAATGAAAACTGAGGGAAATTATCACCAGTACACCTGTCTTGCAGGAAATATTAAACAAGCTTCAGGCATACAGAAGATTATATAGGTCACAAACTTGATTCTACATAGAGAAATGAAGAGATTTGAAAAAAAATACATAAAGGAAAAATGTAAACTTTTATTTATTTTAGTTTTAATTGATCTAAATAACTGTTTGTTTAAATGAATGTTAGCAAGAAAGTATTTAATTGTAGCCTACAGATAAATCAAATGAATAATAGCAATGACACAAGTTACTTTAAGAAATAATTGGGAATACACTGTTAAAGCTAGTTGTAGTACATGTAATATATGGTGTCAACTGACAGTTGATGGGGATTAGTTAAAATATATATTGAAAACTTTGGGTTGACCATGAAAAACAATATTTTTAAAATATAATTAAGATGCTAAAAGAAGAGCTAAAATGAATATCATTACATTATAAATGAAAACAAGATAAGGGAAGAAAGTCAGGGGAATAAAGAAAAAAGAAGAATGAAAGCCACCAGTAGAAATCAGTTGCAAACATGGAAGCTATTAATAAAATTTTTACAAATAATCACTGTTAAATATGAGTTGTCTCAATACATTAATTAAAAGATGGTTGGAATGGATTAAAAATTACACCTAAGTATATCTTATCTGTAAGAAACACATTTTAAATATAATGATACTAATAAGTTAAAAGCAAATATAAAAAACAAAAGAGATATATCATGCTAACATTAATAACAGTAAGCAGGAGTAGCTATATTAGGTTAAGACAAAGCAGACTTCTGAACGAGGAAAACTGCTTGGGATAAGAGGAGGCATTACATAATGATAAAAGAATCAATTCTCCAAGATGATACAACAAGCAATAATTTAGATGCACTTGTAACAGAGCATCAAATATATGAGTAAAACAACATAAGACTGAAAGGTAAATTAGATAAATCTACCTTTATAGGTGAAGATTTCAACATCCCTCTGAAAATAATTAATAGATCAATAATAGCAAAAAATAGTAAGCATATAAATCACATGAACAGCATTAGCAATCGACTTGTTCTAATTTACATTTGTAGAATACTGTATTCAACAACAAAAAACACACATTCTTTTCAAGCTTACATGGAACACAGGATATCAACAATGTGGTTTGTAAAACAAAATTTAATTAAAAAGAATATGAAGCATAAAAATATGTTTTCAGACCAAATGGTACTAAACTAAAAATCAGTAATAGAAATGTCGTTGAAAAAAACTTCCAAATTTAGAAATTAAACAAGATACTTCTAAATAATACATAATTCAAATTAGTTATCTTAAGAGATCTTAGAAACTATTTGCAATATACCTTTTGAACAATTGTGAAGTATGGCAAAAGCACCACTTAGAGGGAAATTTATTGCACTAAAGATTATATTAGAAAAAAAGGAAAGATCTAAAATCTATAACCCAAGAATCAATGAAACCAAAAGTTAGTTTTTTGTTGTTGTTGTTGTTGTTTGTTTTTTGAGAAGTTAGAAATTTTAGAGAAATGGCATTCTTACATTGAAGGCTGGGAGCACATTCACAAAAGTTAGTTCTATAGAAGGATAACTAAGATCAATAGACACTTAGCTAGATTAACAAAAAAAAAAAAAAAAGAGGGAGAAGATCCAAATAATCACAATTGGCCATAAATGACAAAGGAGACATTATAACTGATCCTACAGAAATACAAATGATCCTCAGACACTGTTATGGCAACCCCTATTTATAAAAACTAGAAATTCTAGAAGTAGTGAATAAATCCCTAAAACACACAGTCTTCCAAGATTGAAGCAGGAAGAAACTGAAACACCAAACAGACTAATATCAAGTTTCAAAACTAAATCCGTAATAAAGAACCTAACAAAAAATATTTGTAACAGAGGGAGTGACACTTGAATTGTACCAGACATACATAGAAGACCTGGTAATCCTTCGACTGAAACTGTTCCAAAAAATTGAGGAGGTAGGAGTCCTCCCTAATTTGTTTTATGTGGCCAACATTACCCTGATAACAAAACTTAGCAAAGACACAGTGAAAGAAGAAAACTACATGCAGATATCCCTGATGAACGTAGACACAGATATCCTCAACAAAATATTAACAACCTGAATTCAATAGTACATCAAAAATTTAATTCACCGTGATCCAGTAGTCTTCATTCCTCAGATGCAAGATTGGTTCAACATACACGAATCAATAAATGTAATTCAACACATACGTAGAATTAAAACAAAAACCATGTGATTATCTCAATAGATGTGAAAAAAGCTTTTGATGAAATTCAATATCCCTTCATGATAAAAAAAAAAAAAAAACTCAAGAAACTAAATAGTGAAGGAACAAACCTCAAAATTATAGCCACCTCTGAGAAAGCCAAAGCCAAAATCATACTGAATGGACAAAAACTGGAAACATTCCCCTTGAGAACTGGAACAAGACAAGAATGTCACTCTCACCACTTCAATTCAACATAGTACTGGAAGTGCTAGCCAGAGCAATCAGGCAAGATAAAGAAACAAAAGGCATTCAAACAGGAAAAGAAAAAAAAGCAAAGTATCTCCTCTAGTGGATGATAAGATTCTATATGTAGAAACCCCTAACGACTCCACAAAAAGACTCCTGGAAGTGATCAATGACTTGAGCAAAGTTTCAGATATAAGATACAAAAATCAGTAGCATTTCTATATACCAAGAGCATTCAAGCTGACAGCCAAATCAAGAACATAAACCCATTTACAATAGCCACTCACAAAAATAAAATGTGTGGGAATACATCTAACCAAGAAGGCAAAAAAATCTCTATAAGGAGAACTACAAAACCCTGGTAAAGGAAATCATACATGACACAAACAAATGAAAAAGCATTCCATGCTCATGTATTGGAAGAATCAATGTTGTTAAATGGCTAAACTGCCCAAAGCCATCTACAGATTCAGTGCTATTCCTATCAAACCACTAACATTGTTTTTCCCAGAATTGAAAAAAAAAAAAAAAACTATTCTGAAATTCATACGAAACAAAAAAGGCCTGAATAGCCAAAGCAATCATTAGCAAAAGACAACAAAACCAGAAGCATCACATTCTCCAATTTCAAACAAACTATAAGGCTAGGTAACCAAAACAGAATTGGAAACAAAAAAAAAAAAACAAAAATAAACAAAAAAACAACTATTCTGAAATTCATATGGAACAAAAAAGGCCTGAATAGCCAAAGCAATCCTTAGCAAAAAACAACAAAACCAGAGGCACAACATTCCCCAACTTCAAACAAACTATAAAACTAGGTAACAAAAACAGAATTGTACTTGTACAAAATAGACACATAGACAAATGAAACAAAATGTAGAACCCAGAAATAAACCCACACATTCACAGACATCTAATCTCTGACAAGGTCAACAAAAATAAGCCATAGGGTAGGACTTCCTATTCAAAAAATGGTGCTGAGATAGCTAGTGAGCCTGTGCAGAATGAAATTGGACCCCTACCTTTTCACCATATACAAAAATTAACTAAAGATGGATTAAAGATATAAATATATGACTTCAAACTACAATAATCCTAGAAGAAAATCCAAGAAACACTATTCTGGACATGGAACTTGGGAAATAATTTATTAGTAAGTTCTCAAAGGCAATCGCAACAAAAACAAAAAACTGACCATTAAACTAATAAGCTAGCGCACAGAAAGAAAAAAAAAGAAAAGAAAAAAAAAACCACCTCCACTACAGACAACAACAACAACAACAAAAAATACTATTAAAAGAGTAAACAGACAACCTACAGAACAGGGAAAAATATTTGCAAACTATGCATCTGACAAATGTGTAATATCCAGAATTTACAAGGAACTTCAACAATTGAACAAGCAAAAAACAAATAACCCCACTAAAAAATAGGCAAAAGACATGAACAGACACTTCTCAAAAGAAGATACAAGCAGCCAACAAGCATATTAAAATGCGTATTATCACTGATCATCAGAGAAACAGAGAAATGCAAATTAAAACCACAATGAGATACTATCTCCACACAAGTCAGAATGGCTATTATCAAAAAGTCAAAGAATAACAGATGCTGCAGACAAAAGGGAACACTTGTACACTGTTGGTGGGAATGTAAATTAGTTCAGCCACTATGGAAAGCAGTGTGGATATTTCTCAGAGAACATGAAACAGAACTACTATTTGACCCACCAACCGCATTACTAGGTTTATATCCAAAAGAAAACAAATTCTTCTACCAAAAAGATACATGCACTCGCATGTTCATCACAGCATAATTCACAAGAGCAAAGTCATGGAATCAACCTAGGTGCCCACAAACAGTGAACTCGATAAAGAAAATGTGATGCATATATACCATGGAATATTATGCAGCAATAAAAAATAATGAAATCATGACCTTGCAGCAACGTGGATGGAGCTGGAGGCCATTATCCTAAACAAATTAATGCAGAAACAGAAAAACACATACCACATGCTCTCACTTATAAGTGGGAAAGAGATATGGGGTACTCATGAACATAAAGATGCAACAATAGAACCTAGGGGCTACTAAAGGGGTAAGGGAGGGAGGAGGACAAGGGTTGGAAAGCTAATTGTTGGGTACTATGCTCAGGATAATTTGTACCCCAAACTGCAGCATCACACAATATACCTGTGTAACAAACCTGCACATGTACCCCTGACTCTAAAATAAAAGTTGAAAAAAAAATCTGTAATCAAGTTTTCACCTTTGTAAATTACAGGAATAAGAGTAATTTAAGGTAAATGCAAGCAGAAGAAACAATAAAATTTAGAACAGAAATAGAAATTGAAAATAGGCCAACAATAGGAATAAAGCAATGAAAACTAAAGCTGGTTTTTAAGATTAATAAAATTAGTAAACCTCTAGCCAGACTAACCAAAATTATAAGGAGAAGATGCAAACTACCAAGATTATAAATGAAAAAGAGGACATTACTATTGTTCACATGGACATTTAAAGAGTAGTTATGATGACTACAAATAAATTTATGTGCACAAATTTGATAACACAGGTCTAAAGACAAGTTTATTGAAAAATATGACTATGTAGAAAATACTAAAGAATCTACATAACAACTCCTGAAATTGGTAGATAAACATAGTGAGATTGGTGGGGCATAGTAGCTCACTGCTATAATCCCTACATGTTGGGAGGTTGAGACATGAGCAGACACTTCTCAAAAGAAGTATCTGTTAATGGATAGCTTGAGGCCAGGAGTTCAAGACCAGCCTGGGGTAACATAGCGAGACCCTGTCTCTACTTAAAAAATAAAAAATAAAATGAAATAAAGAAAAAAATATATAGCAAGGTGGGGGGATACAAGGTCAATATATGAAAGTTAATAGACTTCCTATTCACCAGCAATGAGCACATGATATTTGAAATTAAATATAATATGATTTACAGCTGTACTCCAATCAAAGACAAAAACAAGAAATAAATACTTGGGTGTTAGTCTAACAACACATATACTGTATCTCTATGAAGAAAATTATAAAACACTGATGAAAACAATAAAAGAAGTTATAAATAAATGGAAAGATGTGTCATAATCATTAACTGGAAGACTCAATATGTTTAAGATGTTAATTCTTTCCAAGTTGATCTATAGATTCAATGCATTGCCAACTCAAAACTCGGGAAGCTGTTTTGTAGAAACTAGCAAATTAATACTAAAATTTGGATGGAAGGCAAAGATTTAGAATAGCCAACCTAATATCGAAGAAAAAGGAAATTTGAGAACTTAAAAATACATGACTTAAGGAGTTACTATAAAGCTACAGTAATTCAAGTAAGGTTAGAATTAGTTAAAGAATAGACACATAGATCAATGAAACAGAATAGATAATTCAGAAATAGACCTACACAAATACAGTAAATTGATTTTTTACAATGGCACAAAGGCAGTTCAATACAGAAAGGATAGCCCTCCTTAATAAATGGTGCTGTAACAATTGGACATCCATATGCCAAAAAACAACAACAACAACAAAAAGAAACAACAAACAAACAAACAAAAAACCCAGACAAGACTTCAAACCTTTAATAAAATTAAAATAAAAATGTATTATAGACTTAAATGTCAAAAGCATAGGAGAAAATCTACCCAACTTTGGTAATGACTGGGTGATGACAGAACAACTAAAGTATGACTCATGTAAGAGAAATGTGTAGATTGGTTTCTATTAAATTTAAAACTTTAGGTTCTGCTAAGGAAACTGTAAAGAGGATTTAGAGAATTGCCACGGACTGGGAGAAATATTTGCAAAAGACACATATGATAAATCTTTTTAGTTATAAAGGGTTTTGTGTAAAAATATATAAAACCTCCTTGAATTCAATACAAAGGCAACAACCTAATTAAGAAAAATGAAAAAGGGATGAACCTGAGCAGACACCTTGCCAAATAAGATATACAGATGAAAAATAAGCATATGAAAACATTCTCAATGTTATATGTCATTAGGGCAGTACAAATTAAAACGAGATACCATGAAAGTTCTACTAGAATTACAAAATTAAAAAAAATACTGACATTCCCAAATGTTCTTAAAGATACTATGCAATGGGAATTCTCATTCATTGTTAATCAGAATGTCAAGTGGTACAACCACCTTCGAAGAGAGTTTGGCGATTTTTTACAAAGCTAAACATGTCTTATCAAACAGTTCAGCAAATGTGCTCCTTGACATTTACCGAAATGATCTGAAAACTTATGTCCACACAGAAACCTGCACATGAATGTTTATACCATCTTTATTTGCAGGTACCCCAAACTGGAAGCAATCAAGATATCTTTCCATAGGTGAATGGATAAACAAACTGTGGTGCATCATACAATGGAATGCTATTCAGCAATATAGAAGTGTGCTATCAAGCCATGCAAAGGCATGTATGGATCTTAAATGTGTGTTGAAAAGGGAAAGAATCCAATCAGAAAAGGCTACATTCCATTTCTCTGGAATAGGCACACTTATAGAGACTCTATAGGGTCTTATAGAGATCAGTGATTAACATAAATTAAAGCAGCAGTGAATGGGTTAAATAGGTGAAATACACGGGAAATTTTAGGACAAATCAACCATTTCCATATGATAGTGTAATTATGGATACATAAGACTTGTATCAAAACCCATAGAAATTTACATCACAAAGATCTCAGTGTGTGCAAATTGGAAAAAAAATAATTAGATGTTCAGAGGATGTCAGGAAAGAATCCTACTATAACAAAGATTCTAACTGCATTATAAATACATAGAATAAATTCACTGTTGCAGGGAGTATTGACATGTAATTTTGGAAATATGTATAACTATTAAAACTAAAGGCAAAAAAACTATAAATCAGTATTGTATTTTAGCTAATAAAATTCTTTCCCATGGACTACAGGCAAACAATTCTGAAACCTCTCTTTATGTATACTGACTTGAGTAATTAAGCAAATTTTTATTGAATAATGGGAGACAAGTTTCTCAGTGTTGGACTGGAAGGTTACAGATGGATAAGGGAGGCCCAGAATGATCCTTGTGGAAATGGATGAAAATTGAGGACACTAGTATGAACTCATAATTAATTATATATATATATATATGGTTACATATAGAAATATATACAGATACATGTATATACATGTGTCAATTCACACACGTTTCTTCTTGCTCTGTTTGTTAAAAAAGCCTGGAATGAATGCCTCAGTCATATTTAATGCATCTGGATCTTCATTACTTTGACCATTCTACATAAATGGAACCAGGGTTTCTTGGAAAAGTGGCTGATTCTAACATTGGGGCAAGAAATATTAAAGATGAAAATAGATTGTCTTATGGTGCCAGAAAGTAAGAAAGTACTAAAAAAAAATGCACAAAACAAACCCCTCATTAATGGGAGTATGTCAACAGGAAACAGGAATCATTCTCAAGAGCTCCGAATGGCCATTAAAGCAATATTTTATTATAATCCAAAGAGTAAAATAAAGATTCATGAGTCCATTTTGAAATAAAGGATTGAATAAATGAATGAATGAATGCATGCATTGATAAGAGGGAAGAAACAAAAACTTCTGCACCAAAAAAAAAAAAATGCAAATAATGTACATAGATTCTCTGTCCTCAAGCTTAGGGGACATAACTTCTCACTTCTCAAGCTTGGACTCTAAATAGTGACTTTCTTCCAGTTATGGAAAAAGAGAAAAGGACATTAACTCAGTAAGGTGATCACAGTTAGGATCAATTGTGATAAAACATGTTGACGGTATGCACCATTAATATGGTGTAATGAGAATGACATTTTACCTTCATGTTCTTCCTCCCCAAATCCCATAACTCTTAGTCTAATCATAGGAAAAATATCAGACAAATCCCAGTTGAGAAGCATTCTACAAAATATCTATTAATCCTTAAAACTCTTAAGGTTATAAAAAACAAGAAAAGTCTGAGAAACTTTCATAGTCAAGAAACTCTTCACTAGGAAAATGACAGTTTAAATATAATGTGATATCCTGTATGTGATACTGAAACAAAAAACTGATGGTAGGTAAAAACTAAGCAAATCTGCATAAAATATGGATTTAGCTAATAATAATACTATATCAACATTGTTTCACTAATTGTAATAAGTATATCTTACTAATGCAAGATGTTAATAATTGGGAAATCTGGGGCAGTTTGTATGGGAATTGTACTATCCTGAAAATGGATTTATAGATCTAATTCTATTCAAAAATAAAAAGAAAAAAGGGACAAAAGATTTGAATTAAAATTTTATAACAGATATATGAGTGTAAAATAAAATTTGAAAATATGCTCAACATTATTAGCTCTTAGCTAAATGCAGATTAACTTTACATACCTACAAAAACAACTAAACTTTTTAAAAATCTGGCAGTTTCAAGTGGTGGAGGGGATGCAGAACAAATGGAATCCACATACATGGCTACCGGGGTTGAAAAATGATGTAGCCACTTTGGAAAATGATTCAATAGTTTATTGGTAAGTTAAGCAAATATTAATGTATCCCAAGCCATTAATCTTCCTCCTAGGTAGTGAACAGAAATAATAGTAAATGGCCAAACACAAAACTATACATATGTTTATAGAAAACTTAGTCATAATTGAAAAAAAAAACTGGAAATACATCAACTCCCAGTCTGGTGAATAGATGAGCAACATTTACTACAACTATCCATGTAATAGAATGCTATCCAGTGATATAAAAGAAGGAACAGGTGATACATGGCACAACACAGATCAAATACAGATGCATTGTTATGTGAAATAAACCAGACTAAAGAAGGCTACAGGCTGGGTGCAGTGGCACACATGTGCAATCCCAGGCTTTAGGAGACCAAGGTGGGAGGATCACTTGAGCTCAGGAGTTTGAAACCAGCCTGGTCTCAAACATAGCAAGACCTGTCTTTCTCTTTCTCTTTCCCTTTCCCTTTCCCCCTTCCCTTTCCTTTTTTCTTTTCAGAAATCTAAAATACTACATACTAAATGACTCTATGTGATTTTCTGTAAAATTATAATTATGACAGAAAACAGATTAGTGGTTGCCAGGCAGGGACTTGGGGTGGACGTGGGGATTGATCATAAAGGAATATAAAGGAACTTTTGGGGTGAAGGAAATATTATGGAACTTGATTTAAATTATATTTGTATGACATACCTTGTTTCAGAACTCAGAGAATATACACATAAAAATGGCACAATTTACTATGTGACTTTCATAACTTAAGCCTGACTTTAAAAATATTGCTCCTATTGCCTTCTCAAAATATCTGTAAGAAACTAGTGGAATAATTTATATTAAAGCAATTTTCATACTTCAAAACATTATGTAATATAAGCATCAGTATAATAAAAATTGCCTTAGGCTTTGGAAAAAAAATATCAGAGTGGTTATTTGATTTGATACTAGAATATGATTCTGACCCTCTTTGAGCTTCAGTTTCCACTTCCCTGTTACTGCAGATGTTTGTATGAAAATCAGATGAGGTGATGCCTGGATATACAGCCAGGGCATATCTGAGACTCAGTGGCTCCAATGCATGACACATTATTGTTGCTATTTCTGCTGCTACTATTACTACTGCTGTTGCTACCAGGAGGCCTGTCAATAAACTAAACTTTATAAACTAAAATTTATAAAATAATATATTTATCAGGCTTTATGGTAGGCCTACATTTTAAAGGTTTATTAATATAGAGAGAGCATTTTTGATACATGAAATAGAAACTGGTTTGAAGAACTTTGGCAGCCGTAAGTCAGGACTAAGGTAATAGCCAGGATAAAAAACCTGGGGCAATTCAAAGAGAGAGTTAGAGTTTTTTCTGTGTGTTTCTGTATCATTTTATGCTTACCTTCATAAAATCATTAATACTCAGTTTTGGGATTACACTTGTCAATTTTTGTCTTTAGTCTGTTCATGACTTGCGGGGAGAAAACACATTCATTTGCTTGCTGTTTCTTTATTCTTTACATTCACAGAGGAAACCCCGTGCCTACCACTTAGTAGAAACTCGAGAAATACAAGCTGAGCGACAAGGAATCATGTCCAAGATTTTTTTCAGCTATATGATTGTTTTAATAAATTATGATAATATCTCTAAGACACACAAAAAAGTCATCTGTAGTCATCTAAAAGGATATTTGATCTTTTTAAAAAAATACTGAAAATCACAATAGAACCGTAGCGTGATAATTTAGGGTCAGATTACCCGTCTTTCTTTAATTCTTCACTCTTTCATGTAATCATCCCTCTTTATTCTATTGATAGAGGTTCATACATTTCAAAAATTTATTTTGCTATATATAAAATATTTATTTAAGTTCTAATATACAATATATTTTAATGAAGCAAATTTCTAATTTATTATCTTCCAAATTAACCTTTTTCCAGAAAATTAATTTTTCTGGCAATTGATCAAAACCTATAGTGCTTTTATGTAAAATGGCAGTTCTGAAATAATATTTTTTCTCATTGGAAAAATCTATTTTAGTTGACAATCCTAAGATGCATTACATATTCTAAATAAAGAATGGTACAAACTAATTAAAAATATTTTCTTCAACCTAGATATAACCCTATTAACTTTAGCATGCATCTTAAGTGTCTATGTTTATAAGTCTTATATTTCTATTAATTTACTTTTAAAATTTATAAATGAAATATGTTTGGTGGAGAAAAATTGTAAATAAAAACAAACAAATATATAGAGGATAAGATTAGCTATAATGCCATGCGCCTCCTCCAACTACTGCTAACAGGTTAGCAGGCAGCTTTCCAGCTATCGTATATATATATGTATATACACACACACACACGACATATTTACACACACACACACATATATATATCTCATATATATGAGAGAAAAAAGACAAAGTGTGTGAGAGAGAGAGGGAGACAGAGAGAATGGAATACTTGTAAAAAATGTAGACCCTCCTAAAATAGGCAATGCGCAAAATGCTGCCATTAAATGAGGAAAATCAAACCTTTGTGCCAATTCACATTGAAAATTTCCCAAACACCTGGAAACTTTACCTCCAGTTCAGTACATATCAGCTTGGTGCCATATTTTAGCTGCTACTTTACATTATAATGACATGGTAAGGAAGAGACAAAACTGTTGTTTCCCTGCTGACGATCTAATCAATACACACCTGTTTTCTGCTGGGAAAACTGCAGTCGTAGATGTGGTGGCTTTTTAACCTGAAAAACGATGACAAAGTAGCATGCTGAAAACACATGAATTTGACAAACTTTACATACCGTTTTCAAATTGAATACAAGCAGTGGGATGCTGGCATAGGTGACGATTTCCATGATGACAGATTATGATGCGTCAGACAAAAGTTACAATCATTCATGAAAAAGAAGAGGAAACTCAGTCATGAGAAAATACTATAGAATATATACTTAATGTTTTCTAATATTCTTCAAATGTATTTCATTTTAATATATACAAGTTTTTTTTCTAAAAGCAACATGGTTAAGTCAAAACTATACATAGAAGCAGGGGTATAGAGGACGCATTCGACTTTTTCATGAATTATGTGTATTAATACATTTCAGACACAATAAAAAGCTCTGAATATGATGTTTTGGGCAATTGTTTCCATTTTCTCTGAAATTAGTTTTTTTTGCAATACATATGTAAAGATAAGCTATGTCTGAATGTAAGTACACCACCAATTAATATTCCTCCAAATTGGGATGTATTATCTACCTCGTTGGCCAATTTCATGCAAAATTGAACAAATTAGCCACATGATCAAATAGCTTTCCTACTTAGAACAATCAAAATTAACACAGCCAAAAACAATATTTACTTTTTGATCATTTCGATTTTGTCATTTATTGAGTATACTTTTAAAGAAAGTATTTTATATTTGTGGTGAAGATAAATCCAATTGCCATTTAGAAACTATGCAAAATTACCATTTGTATTAGCAAGTATAAATATACCTCCTTATTAATTATTAAAAATAAAATTCAAACTTTTCTATATTTATCTACCATACACTTATTGATTTATTAGCCAGTTATTATTTTTCACATGTTCTCATACAAAAATAATGTTTGTCTTCTAGCTCTAATTAAGAAACGTTGATACAAAAATAATCTAGAAAATCTATTGCATTTTGAGAAAAAATTACATTTTAACTGGAAATCATCTAGAAATTATAATTTTCAACCACTTATTTTCTGGAAAAATAGCACGGTTTTTCTAGATCTTCTCTATCTTGTTTGTTTTATAGATAATATTATGATATAAAATTTAGTTGTTATTTATACTATTTAGATACAACTGTATTAAAGAATAAATAGGTTCTGAATATAATGCTAAAGATTCCAATGACATATTTCTGTTTATAACAGGAAATCTTAAGTGGTACTGTAACAATAAGACAAAATAAATGAGATTAAAAAGTGTTAGCTTTTTTTAAAAAAAGTTTAAGAATGTAATAAAATTAATCAATCACCTAGTGGAAGTTTTAAGAGATACAAGTCCACATATTTTTTCTGTTCCCAACAGCCAATAGACCACCTCAGTCATTTGCAATGTATCATCTGTTATTTACCGAGACAGCAATTAATTATGCTGTTGAATTGCCCCTCATTGCTTATGTCTCAACTCCAAGTTTACCACCTTATAAACTTTCTCCCCCTTGGCTTGTTCAAGCATTTTTGTCTTATTTAAAATCAGTCTTGTTTATTTGTTTATCTTTGGTTTTGTTGAGTTTTTTGACTTCTTAAAATAGAATAGAAGAATATTTAAAGAATTAGCTATCTGATTCACTGCTATTTTCAACATTTCACAAACAGCGCATGATGTATATTATATTCTAAGTTAATACAAGCGTTTACTGGAATAAAATAATAAATGAACATATAAGTTGTCTAAATTAATTGAGTGTTTAATTGACTCACATTGCCCACACTATATAAGGTCTATTTTGACTAATAGGGGACATTTTATATGACACTTTGTCAATAATAAGAATACTGTCAAAATCTAGTCCAAATCTCTAGGACCACTAAGAAGTTCCAGTCAATCTTGCTGACAAGACAGATATTTATCTTTACTTCTTTTCCCCAGTGGAACTTATTTAGTGACACAGAACAAAACCACAATTTCAGACTTGGATATTCATCTGTTTGTTAATGCTTGCTCTCCTTGAATATAGCAGAGAGTCCCCTATAGTAGTATATTGTTGCTGCCATGGTAACAACAGTAGTAGAATCTAACATGAGAATTATAGATTCTTAATGCAGTAAAGAAGAAAATCTCATATAAACAAAATTACTCTCGCAAATACTTTATGAATCCATAAGAACTGCATCTTTATTTACCCCCTCATGATAAATCCAACTCGAACGGTCTTCCTTCTAGTTTTAAACAGATCATTATGTCTTCAGTCAATTTTAAACATTAGAATTGCACTTGGTGTTTTGTCGTATTTACATTATCAGAGCACATAAAAGTAATATTATAGCCTTAAATCTTAAGCTCACTTCTGGGGCTACCTTAATTGAATGAAAAAGTGAAGATAAATGCCTGCACAGCTAAACTTACTGTCTCTCTCTCAGGAATAGAATTCAACTCCACTTGAACACATTAAGGCCCCTTTAAAGACAGCTCCAAAGGGTGTAGGAATTAAGCTGTTCTTGCCTTGAGTTCAAAGAATTATTGTGAAATGGAAGAAAGCACCAATAGCAGCTCATATAGAACTACCCTTGATGCTCCTCTTGTCTGTGTTAATTCTGATATATTTAGTTGGCCAGCCAGTGCTTGACTTGTGTTTAGTCCATCTCTACTTTCTTGAATCCCAACTGTGTAGGGATCTGACTCTGCCAAAGCCTGGTCTACACCATCTGCTCTGACTGACTGCCAGGATTCCCTGGCTGCCCCAACATGCTTAGAGAGACATTCTGTTTTGTTTTGTTTTGTTTTGTTTTTCCTTTTTTTTTCCCTCCTGTGAATATTTGAGGCTTCCAAATAAGTGACCATTGGATAAAGTAACATATTACAGTGTCCCAGTGATAGTGATAGACAATAGGAAATTCAACTTCATTGATATTTAAGGTGACTTCCAGCTGAAAACACTCCTAGCACCTCAAGTATGATACCTGGTTTTAGGGGACAATACTGACAATTAAAATTGATAAACTGAAGCATATATCAATGGGAGCAGCAGGATAATGCTAATTCTTGTTAATATATTAGTTAAGCAACACCTAAAGAAATTGACATGTTTATCCTGGAGCACAGAACATTAACAAATAGAATCCTAGGACTGACTTTATCTTAAGATGATAAAACATAATTTGAAGAATAAGATTCTACATCCTCTCATTGGATGTACATCAAGTGAAAACCTCTAACTCTCAAATCAGTTCAGTTGAGTAAATGTTTATAACACTGTGAGCACTTGACTATTCTTTGAATTTGGAGCTTCAACACTCAAGACCCTCAGTGTCTGAATTGTTCAAATACATAACGTGGTGTCTCTGAATTGACTGATCCATAATATCATCCTATAAGCATTAACATACATCTTTGAAGTAGATATTTGCGTGCAAACGATTTCAAATCACACAGTTTTTTTTCATTTTCCTCAATTGTAAAATATAGATATCTATAATCATATCAATCTGAGCCTTAACCATTTCTGTAAAATATTCAGCTTTCAAGCTATTTTAAAAACGTTGAAAATCCTGATAATATCGAAATTCTAAATTATAGCCAATATATATGCTTTCCAATAATTTAAAATAAGGGGAATTTAATCCCCTTTCTGATTTTTATATTTCTCATTGTTATATAGATTAGATTAATGCATTGAAAAATAATACTTTGTCTTTGTTTTCAATTCTGCTGCTTAAGTTTCAACTACTTCTATAATTGGACATATTTTAAAGAATAACATTGAAGTGATTCTTGCTTTGAGGATTTATATTTACAAGATATTCTGTTTATTGTGATATATTTTTGTTTTAACACATGACTAGACTTTCTATTGATTATGTTTAAAACAATCTACGACTTGCAAATATGTTTTTCTTAAAAACAATATATAAATCATCATATTTTTACTCCGTTTTGAGAAGCTGTGGAATCAAATTACCCATAGCAATATATAAAGCAATATAATTAATAAATATTACAGTTGTTTAATCTAGAATAAAACTTTACTTCAATGAGATTTGGAATTTTGGTTTGTTGTTTGCTTATACTGAGATGTTAAGTAGTTTTAGCAAACATTTTCAAGGCCTAAGTTTTGGAGAACATATACTTTAGGAAATACAAAATTATGCCAAGATTGGAATGTTGAAAGGTATCTCTGTCTCTTTCCCATTCTCTCTCACTCACAAATGCATAAACACATAGACACAGTCACATGTATTCATACATTCCTCACACACACCTATTAGGGGTTATCATTTTTTTCCCCATACCACTACTAAAAGAAGAGAGAAATGCCTTTATGAAATAAAGGAAGCATCCAGGGGTAACAGCCAGGAAGAAATGATATAGAAATTTTAATGAGATTCAGAAAATTAACAAAACTAAACACTTTGCAGAAAACTATAAATTATTTAGTAGATAATGATTGTCAACTTAGAAAAGGACAGATGATGACTATCTCAATTTCCCTTCCCTTCTTGCTAAAATAAGAATAAGATAAGGGGAGAAGTAAGAGATCCAAATATATATATATATAAAGAAAGCTTAAGTACACTATGAATATTATAAGAAGACTACTAAATGATAATATTTATTAGAGCATGTACAATAGGCTAGAGTTCATACTGTACAGTAATTATATAAGAGAGAACCATGGTGGATAGAATTAATAGTGTATTAATCATTAATAATTAATGGATTAAAGAGTATTTCTATGTCAGATTAGAAATTGCTGAATATTTTGAGTATAAAAATATTTACAATATATTGTAACTATATAAATCAAATAACTAATAATATTATTATTATTATTTTTTTTTTTTTTTTTTTTTTTTTTTTTTTTGAGACGGAGTCTCGCTCTGTCGCCCAGGCTGGAGTGCAGTGGCGGGATCTCGGCTCACTGCAAGCTCCGCCTCCCGGGTTCACGCCATTCTCCTGCCTCAGCCTCCCAAGTAGCTGGGACTACAGGCGCCCGCCACTACGCCCGGCTAATTTTTTGTATTTTTAGTAGAGACGGGGTTTCACCGTTTTAGCCAGGATGGTCTCGATCTCCTGACCTCGTGATCCGCCCGCCTCGGCCTCCCAAAGTGCTGGGATAATATTATTATTAACAATGATAAAAATCATATGTATATTTTAAAGATTATACGATTGATTTTTTTATTTCTTTTGCTTTCAGCCTCTTGTCTCCTAACCTATTTCATGAAACTTTTTATACCATCAGAGAAATCTTCAGCCTAAAATTCTAACTTATCATGTTTCTAAAAGTCATAAAAATGATCATTTATAATAAATGTTTAATTATCACAAGTCTTTTATTTTATTGATTTTTGAAGTCTCAATGTTTAGCTGGTATGCAATTGAAACCTAAATTTGTCTTCTCTTGCCGCATCAAATACACACAAAAACTAATATTTCTTCCTACTTAGATACATACTTTGATTATTCATTCTTCAAGTATGTATTAATTGAGCATGAATTTTGTGACAGATTTGCTTTTTAAGTATCAATTATATGCCGTGCTAAATGAAAACCAAGTTAGCATCATTTGTGTCAATTTCTGTAAAAACAAGATTGGGTATAGCTATGATCTAGTGAATACAATGCACTTTTCATTCTATACTTTACTAACTCAGAGAGATTTTCTGGTTCTTCTTTTTCCATTATGGAATTAGTATATTATGAGAAGATAAAACATCAATTTTTGTTTGCTCGTTTTTGAGACAGGATCTCGCTCGTTTGCCTAGGCTAGAGTGCAGGGTGTGAACAAGGCTCACTGCAGCGTCAACTTCCTGGACCCAAGCAAGACTGAATTTTACTTTATGGGTTACAAATAGGAGGTTAAGTCTACCCAGCACAAATATATAGCCTATAAAAGTCTATAGATTTTACAGAGTAAGTAGATAAGATCCTGTGGTTGTCCCCCTTTGGGAGGGGTAATTGTGGCTAATAAGAAACTGATTTTAACACGGTTCATAAATAATATTTTACAGCTTTCCTTGCAGTTAGGGTAACCAAAGTAAACAACGGAAGACTTGCTGGGTGGAGCTTCTAGAAGAGCTATTTAAAAGGTATTCTCAAAACAGGGAGTTGTGTGTGTGTATGTTTTTATTTTTCCTTCATAAATAATCTTTCTATCCCATTTGAAATAGTAATTTGATACAGAAGATGGAAACTGCTCACCAAAAAAGACAGAGAAGTTGATGATGGTGGTGAGGAAACAAGAAGATCCTGGATCTCTGACGTCCATGGAACTTTCATAACATCGTTGCCACTGCTACTTCAATGATCCCTTTATGTGAAATAAAGTAAATCACTATCTTGATATTTCCAGTTATCTTGGATTTCTCAAATTATACGTCTTAAATGACAAAGCATCAGAAAGGTTAAGTTTGTGACAACATTTTCAACAGAAAAGTTAGGAATACACTGAATTTTTAAACAAGAACGGATATTATTATCTCTGCTTGCAATATTATAAATGTCATTCAGGGAGTTAATTTTTAGAGACAAATGATAAATAATAAGTAGACGCACTTTATATATGTTTTCAGATTCTTTAACAAAAGCTGTTTTTCCTGTCTTTAGATAAAATTTGGCAAAAAATACTTATAAAGTAGTAATAAAGAGGTAGTAGATAAAACATAGTAAAAGCAAAATGAATCAATAACACAACAGCTCTTTTACTATAGAAGAATTTAATATTGTAGATTAATTGATATTGGTTGTTGCATTAAACGAAATCTATTGAAGTCTACATGGGTATTTAAATATCATAATATATATCACATATATATCTATAAAGTTATTTTAGAATATTTTCTGTCTACAATGAGAAGACTATTAGAGCTTATACTATGAAGTACTAATAAGTGCAAATGTTCATTTGGAATTATTTCTTGTCCTTTATAAAAACGGAATTTGATTTTGGCTAATGTTGGTATCTTCACTTTGGCATCTACCTTAAAAAATAGTTTATTATTACTACAAACCACAGTAATATAGTATTAAAATATTTATAAAATAAATGTTTTATGAGTTTCTGCTATTTGCCAGGCATACAAAGTTATATGAATCTTTCCAAATACTGATGGTAAGAATTATTAATTTCAATTAGCTTGCATTTTATGTTAAGAAATTTTAATAAAGGCAGAGTTACTTTTTCCAAGTTACATATCTCTTATACCTAAATGGAAATTGCACTTTCTCTTCTCAAATACCTGAATCCATTCTTTTATGTTACAATATTAACATTCATTTAGAGGTTTATTCTCAAGAACAATGTAATTTTCATTGTGGATTTTGGGAATAAGGAAGGAGAGTATGTTCAATTATAGTCTTTAAATTCTGCTTTCTTTTCAGTCTATCTACCTATTATCTATCTATCTATCTATCTATCTATCTATCTAACATCTCCTTCACTAAAATTCACCATTTTGCTATACAATTCTATAAATGTGGACAAATACATTAAAGAATATGTCTGTCATAACAATCAAGATATAGAACAGTTTATTTAAAGAAATTCACTTGTGTGGCCTCCCGCATTCCCAACACAGACCACTACTGATCTTCTTCATATAAATGGAATCATTTAGTATGTAGCCTTTGGGTCTGGATTCTTTCATGTATATTGTCTTTTAGGTTCGTCTATGCTATTATATATACTAACACTATGATAGTTTTTTCCTTTTCATATTTCATGAGTATACCAGCGTTTGTTATCTAATTATCAGTTGAAAGACTCTTTTTCCAATTTTTGTCAATTATACATTGAGCTACTGTGAATATTTGCATAAAGTTTCTTGTGTCAACAAAATTTTTCACATTTTAAATCATATGTTTGATACCAGTTAAACTTTATAAGAAATTGTTCCCACTCTTTTCCCAGATAACCGTACCATTTTACATTTCCACGAGAATGAATGAAAGTTTGGGTAACTCTGCATCTGTCAGTACCTTAGTACTGTCTCTTTAAAATTTTTTAAATTCTGCTTTTTTAAAAACCACTTTCAAGTGAAAATAATATAATATGAGATTGGAATGTAATTTCTTCAAATCTTATCTCCACTGCAAACTATTTGATCAGGTGCATGAACTTGATTTTTTTTCTTAAAAAAGTATTTATTCTTACGTTACATGACAGTATCTTTTTAAACATGGCAAGTTAATTTTCTAAAATCTTTTAAAATTTATGCTTACTGTACATCTGAGGTTTTGAGTTCCCACTCTTTTATGTCATTATATAATTGCCCAATAAATACAAGCCCTATGTTAACATTAAAAGTAGCATACTTGTTGTTATACATGCAAACTGGGCATTTGGCCTTAACACATGGTGATTTGAAGACAGGTATAAAGAGATTTTTAAAAATGTGGTAAGACATATTACTGGGTTGATCTCTGGTAATCCTGTTACATACAAGCATATGTAATGTAAATTTTAATATATGCAAACATACATACATGTATATACACATTAATAAAGGCAAAGTTACTTTCTCAAAGTAACTTTGGAAATTTCACTTTGACATACATATACGTGTATATACAGATTTTTCCTTTTTATTTCTGTGAGTTTTAAGATGATGATGATTAATTTTTCAAAAGCTTTTTTTCATTTAAATTCATTGATCTTATTGATTTCCATCAAATAATATTGAGAAAGCACATTGTGACGGTAAATATTGACTGTCAACTTGATTGGACTGAAGGAAGCAAAGTGTTGTTCCTGGGCATGTCTGTGAGGGTGTTGCCAAAGGAGATTAACATTTGAGTCAGTGGACTGGGAAAGGCAGACTCACCCTCAATCTTGGTGGGCACAATCCAATCAGCTGCCAGCGTGGCTAGAATAAAAGCAGGCAAAAGAACGTGGAAATATTAGACTGGCTTAGCCTCCAAGCCTATATCTTTCTTGTGTGCTGGATGCTTCCTGCCCTCGAACATCGGACTCCAAGTTCTTCAGCTTTGGGAATCAGAATGAATTCCTTGCTCCTCAGTTTGCAGATGGCCTATTGTGAGACCTCACCTTGTGATCATGTGTGTTAATACTCCTTAATAAGCTCCCCTTTATATATTCATCTATCCTATTAATTCTGTCCCTCTAGAGAACCCTGACTAATGCACATACTTAATTATGAAAGAAATAAAAAATTTACAAACTACATATTTTTATTAAAAATTATACATGCATATATGCCTTAGATCATATTATATATTCGATGTCCTATTTATATGTAATTGGGTCTTATTCTACAAAGAGTTCTCTAATATGAATATTTAAAACACATAGATTGTGGATTGGAAGACTCTCAAAAGCTAATAGTGATTATCCACTAGCTGGTAGATTTGTTGTTAATTTATCATATGAACTCCACTGTTTAATAATTAAATATAACTAAACCTTATTTTATTTACTCTTAAGGAATTTTTTTAAATTAGCAATAATTTTATAGCAATGAAATTGCCTAGACACAATGTGAAAACAAACAGCTATAAGTAGGCATAAAGTTAAACATACAAAATACTGTTGTATTTTTAAAAAGTTACTGGTTAATTTTATGATCCACTGCCACATTTATAGTTATGCAAACTAACAGAAGAGCATACATATATCATGCTTCACTAATCAAATAATTATTTATGTAAAATAAAATAATTACTTATAATTTTTATATTGCTTTTATAGCATTATTTCTGCAAATATAAAAACATTCTTAATTATTGGTACAAGTAAAACAATTATCTGTTCAGTTTTGCAAAACTACTTTAAAATATTTGTTTTTAAGAAATTGTTTCACCAAAGTAAATAAATATTTATAAGGGAGGAAAAATTACTTGGTACAAAACTATTTTTCACTGTGACATTCTTATAAATAAGCCTCATGGCATTACTTAATGCTATGAATTTACTTCATACATTGGTTTAATTTAATTTAGTCAACTAATTATTTAAACCTATCTTTGAACTTTTAAAGAGGCTCAATTTTCCCTATGCTTCTTCCCAAATTTCTGTATAGGATCATAGAATTACACGGCAACCTAGAATTAGCAGAAAAAAAGCAAGATCTGTTTCTTTTTTTCACATTCATTTATAATTAATCCCCACTAAACTGCTTTTATTTCTCAGAATCCCTGCACCATTCTTTCACTATGGTGTGCATATTATTTCCTAAATAATTTTTATAAAAATGCCTGAAATGTCACTTTTTAAGTTCTACTTTTGCTTTCTTAGGGTTTTAGTGATAAAAAAGTAAAAAAAAAAAAAAAAAAAAAGGAAAATCCCACTCGCTTTCCTACGATGAATCTGTTTTTTTCTCATTTAGCAAATACTACCTGAAGAACAACTCATTTGGATATTTCTTTATGTTGAGCTTGATTAAACTTTCCATCCTCATTCAGTGCTGTAGGATCATGTTAATTTTTGCTCATTTGAGTCTCTTATCCAATCCAGTCAAAAAAATCAGTACAGTATTTCATAGTGTCTGTTGTTGAGTATTCTGATCACATTACTTACGGTAGATATTTACTACATGCCAAAGACAATGTTTCACAACTGCTCTTCATTATGGTTTTTGCCAAATCTATTACTATAAATCATATTTCAACATATGATCCAAAGGATCACAACTGTCTGCATAAAAACTTATAGAAACAGATATAATCGATCACCTCCTCTGTTGTTTCTACTAACCAGGTTTTGAATATTTAAGGGGGAAAATTAAGTTGTAGCAATTTCAAAGCTGTCAGAAGAATCAAATCTGGCCTATGCAAATATATTTTGTTAAAATTATGCTTAGAAATACAAAAGCTGTAGCCTAATAATTTTATGAACAGTTTGAAAAAAAGAATCATATTAACTTATTTATTTTATTACTTGTTGCATTACTAGTATGAGGCATATTGCCTGAGAATAGTAGACACGCAAGATATATTTGTTGAACTGAAATAAATTTAACTTTTAAAAAACATAATTAATAATATTCCTCAATACTCTAACATAGTACTATATATGTGTATATATCATTATGTACTAGTATAGTACTAGAATTAATATACACATTCCTTTGACATACTTTTTCTTATTCATTGATTTCATTTTACATACCTATTTCAATTATTTCTAAAAATTATTTTCTGTATTCTTCAAATATTTGCCCAGGTAGCTCAACAAATTCCTGAATTACATTCTCAGATTCTGATTTATTGGGTCTGGAGAGGTACAAGGAAGTAAAATTTTAGCAAAGATCTTTGGTGATCCTAATGAAATCAATAATAATACAATCAATAATATTTTACAAAACTACTTTAAAATATTTGTTTTTGAGAATATTGTTTCACCAAAGTAACATAAATATTTTAAGAAAACATTTATGTGAAATATTTTTAAGAAAAAATTCAATAATATTTTGACATGCTCAATAATATTTTAATGGGCTAAACAGATATCAATAGATTTTCATATTCTCCTAATTCTTATTTTGCAGGGGAATTTGGTTTTCTTGCCTGTTAGATACAATATGAGAATTGAGTTTGCTAGAGTGCATTCTCCAAGATTACCTGTGACCCAGAAAGCTTACAGAACTTGGATTAAAACCTTAAAAACCTACTAACACTTTACATGCTGTTGCAGTACTTCAGTTGCAATAGCTACTTATTTTTCTAGACTCCTTTATTCATCTCTTCTTCCTTATTTGCTGAGATACAAGAAACTAATAGATTTGTTTGTGACCAAGATGGTCTATTCATCTTCCTCACCTCTACTAAACTTTAGACAGGTTTCTCCCTGACTGTAGGTCCCTAACCTCCCTGTTCTTGGAGTGTTTAGTTTAGAAAACTTAGAATTATAAATTCTCTCTCTGTCCTTTTGAGATGTAAATCTTCTCCCTGCCTCCTACAACCCAGGAATATCTGTTTCAAGAAACAGAGCCATCTCTTTGAAATATAGTCATCAAAGAACAGAGTGTCACCATCTCCCAGTTTCTGTGAGAGGGTAGGGGCCTAATGTCCACAGGCACCAATTAGCACACACAAATGGCCTCATCACATACACCATGCTTCCCTATAATGTCCTTCAGTACTTTTCCACCGGCTCACTTTTCTTGCTTTTTGTTTCAACAGAGTTAAGTTCAGTCTGTCTTCCATATTGTAATAGTCTTGAATAAAGTCTTCCTTGTCTGTTTATGTCCACTGCAATTTTTCTTCAATATTAGTTTTTACCTCTTTTCTTTAAGAAGAGAAACTCTTATATTACCAAGAAGAACCTTAGCAATTCAAAAACTTTCTATTTGTAATATCAGAAAAAAACTTCAGCTCCAGGATATCTGACTAGTCAATTGCTGCTTAATTATGTTTATAATTGCTAGTGATTCCCTCATTATAAATAGCAGTTGATATTGATGTGTCACTTTAACTTATCTTCATAGTCTCAGGGAACCATAAAATCTCCACCAAAGGTCTCTTTCTACATGCTCCATATTTGTATTAACATTGCTTCCTAATTCAAATAAAGACATGTAAAATATGAAATTAATGGAAGCTTCTTTGGGAAAGTGAACAGTAACTATTGCTCTTCAAAACTCTGTTTGTAGATGCTCTTTCTAAGTTTGATGGATGGAAATAATTTATCCAGAAATATCTTTATACATTATTTTTGCAATATGAGTATCTAATTAAAGAACAATGGTTATGACAAATAAATGTAAAAGTTGATTTATTCTACCAAAGAAATATGTATTTAACATGGCCTATTTTAAGAAATCATTAATTGAATACTTTGAATTTTCTCTAGACTCCATAATAATATTCTAAAAAAGAAAACGATCATAATGAAAATCACTTAAATAAAAATAATTTCTAAGTATAAATTATAACAGTATTGTTGATGTATTTGCATAATATTCTAATTGTTGCAAGACAGAAGCAGCCATAAGTTGGCATATAAATCATGGTATGAGGGTATTATGGATTTCACTGGGTGGGCAATTAGGTTTCAATATGTAAGGGAGTGCTTTGGGAAACTTAAATTTGTTTTATAACCTCATTATATTAAAATTTAGCTATATAATTGAAGCACATATTCACAGCTTAAGGCTTCCTTAAACTACACTAGAAAATTGTTTAATCTTTGGAAATGGTTTATATAGGCATACTTTAAAAAATTTTTCCTATGAGGCTGAATTTTTTCTAGTTAGAAAAAAATTACCATATATAATAGTAATTAAAATGTGTACTTATTGCTTACAAACAACTCAACAAACAACAAAACAAAATAAAACAACTTCCACCCCTCTTTCCATATTGCATACCACTTCTCTCACTTTATCTTTCTTTTCACATTTCTCATAATTAAGACATAACAGCTGTGCATCCAGCTTTTCTTCATATTCCTCATTTCTTGGCTTCACATTCCTCATTTTGTTAAAATATGTAACATAAAGTCACTGCTATCAGACTCTGTGCTTTGAATTTTCTTAATTTAGAAGTCCTAAAATATCTGCCCAATAGAGGATTTGTTCAATCCCTATTTAAGCAAAGTCCTTAGTGCTACATTTTGAGCTGTTAAAATGAAATTAAGTTTCAGCTGTAACAGGTATATTGGATTGTTCCTGGAACTTATAATTCTCTAAAATTGGGAGACTGCCCTGAAAAGAAGCTGAGAATTAAATAAAAATAGACTTATCCTGTTTTGGTCAGCTTCTCAAGTAGGAAAAACAATAGTCAATGTGGCTGTTTATTAATTTTTATTAAAGGAAATATTTGTTCTAGTAAAATTATACTTTTCCCCCTCAAATTTTAACCAACTTTCATTTTCGAAACATTTTTAGAAGAAATAGTCATTGATAAAAATGATATTAACTTGTTTTAAGCTTTTTAAATAGTGATATAATAATAATAATGTGTCTTTATTGTTTGTATCTAGAAAGACCATTTTTATTTTCAGCTTTTACATTTACTTAGAACTCCCCACATTTTAACATCCTCAAACATTTAAATGGAAACATTTTTTCTCATAAATTTATTTTCTATTAAATTGTGTGCATGATTGAAATGCATTCTTCTCTTCCAAATGTTCATATTGAAATTACTACAGTATTAATATTTATCATTAAAACAGCACAAAATATTGAATATTATAAGATCAGAATTTCTGCTTGCTGAATTCATTCCCACAGCTCTTCAATATAAAATAAGTTTGGAAAATTCAAACTTTAATATACAGTATATGATTATGTAGCAGTGTTTTAATGATTTATTGGCTACATAAGTTTTTTACACAGATAAGATTGTAAATTAATAAAAGAAATCCAGGTTATTAGTAAGAGAACAAAAGAATGTGGAATAAATATGGAGCATAGCAATGAGGAGGTGTGGACACATCCATGGGTTCACTACTTTCCTCCTTGAAAATACAATTATAAGTGAATCTAGAATACTAAAAATTCAGCAGTCTCCTTGGTCCATGGCTAATTCTACACTTAAATTGAGAGATGAAATAACCATATTACAAATACTAACGATCATCATCTATTTTCATTGGCCTTACATTCTCCTCCATTTAATATGGAAAATTGCTTTGTCTACAAAATGTTCATTTTTTTCTATTTTTAAAATGTGGCCTCTGTATTTTAATCTATAATTTCCTAAAGTATTGAATTACGTGGTTTGACTTTACACTATGCGAAGATTAAGCATTTCCTTTTGTTCCTTTTAAATTAACCTTCCATTAGTTTTGAGTGATCCCTCCTTCTTGTATTATGAAATAGCACATAAAAAGGATCTTATCAATTTTTACTATACCCATCACAATCTTAAATAACTCAATTATATTTACTCTATCTCTTCACATTTCCAGGCTAAATAATCTTAGCTTCCCTGACTTCCTTTTGTGTATGAGTAAGTTTCATTCTACTTTAACCATCTTATGTGTCCTTTTGTGAACGCTTTCATTCTTATCTTTCCCTGGGGGATATATCTTAAGACAGTATTTCATATTGGAAGATTCCATATATAATTATAACATACCTTAGTGCTATTAATTTGCATTTATATACCATTTCATTTATGCAAAGTGCTTTTCAGTTTATCTTCACAATATTGCTGGGAACTTATTAGCATATGTTTTTGGAAAGAGAAAGTACAAAGAGGTTGAAACTAACCCCAAATCACTAGAGGTACATCTAAATCATCTTTTGAAACAAGAAAAAAAAATGATCTTTTTCATTTAAATAATCTATTTAAAATGCTAATTTGATTGATGGGAACTTACTAAAAGCCCTTGTTAATTTTCTAGTAATAGAAGGAACAAGTGAACAAAATGATAATTTTGAAATAGTTATTCTCAAACTAGTAAGACTACTTTTTTACATGTGAGAATGAGTTAGAAATGTAAAAGTTTATAACATATTTTGAGTTTAAAATAATTTTTATCAAACAATAAAGAATTTCTAGTATTTTAAAAACTCAAAGTTAATTGTACTCAAAATTTTAATTGGGGTGGATTGAATCTAGCAATATCAATTACATAAGTAGATTTCAGCTTTACATCCCAGGAGGTATCTCCTCTCCATGCTTATGTAGATTGGAGGTGGTCATTATGATGATCTGAGTTACACAACCCTGTTTTAGACCCTTGGCTTGATGGAAATTCACTATATTCATTCCTGGGCTTTTGGTTTCATTGGTGTAATACTTACAACTAAGGTCTAATATTTTGTGCTGCTTGGACTGGTGAAATCATGAGCCTCAAATGGCTTAATCACTAGTTTTAAAGTCTTCTCTCTGCTCCTACAAATTAGGTCCTCTAGCCAAACAAACCACCTTACCAAATGGATCAGGTGAAGCTCCTGCTTATCCCTGAGCAGCTTGCAGTTCTCTGCCAGCCCACAAAATGATTCAAACAAGCCCACCACATTCTCCCTCCAGGACAAGAAGACACTCTACCTTCTTGTGGGTCTGCCCCCACAGCCCCTAGCTGTTCCGTCTGTTATAGATTGCAACCCCTGTGTGGAATGCAGTGTCCTTTTCCCCTAGGGAGTGGGTGTGCATGACTCATAAACTTCCGTGGATCTTATCTGTCTAGTGACAGTTGTCATGTGTTTAGCCATTGCTATAATCTTAAGGTGGGAATATCTACTTCACCTAAAGGATGACTAGGAGGCGCTAAAACATCACATAATATCAGTTCTTGGATCACTGGTCACTTTGTTCGCTAATGAGCCACAGCCTTAAAGAGTATTTCATTTGTTAGCATGCTTATATCCCATACTAATAAATTTAAAAATTGTGAAGATGTGGGTTTACAAATAGGCATGAAGATTTTCTAAGAAGTTTTTTTTTTTTTTTTTAATTATACAGGCCCCTGGAGTAGTCTTTGGAAAGTAATTTCTTACGATAAAAGCAATTTCAAAGCATTTACTGTTTTTACTAGGGTGTCCAAATTTCTGCATTTGTAAGAACCTTAGTGAAATGCAGCTAATATCAGTTTGGTATGCAGAAAAACCACAAGTAGAAAGAAAAGAATATCTCAGGATTAGAAACAGGGAAGAACCATAAATAAGTAATTAATTTACTGAGAAGATATCATGTAACAAAAAAAAAAAAAACAAATACTAGGCCACTATCTCATTTAATTTTTATAATAATTCTAAGGAGAGTCATTATTTCTTTGTTTAAAATATGAGAAGTCTGATTCTGAGAGATATTATATATATTTTTCAAAATGTATACAGCTGGCGAAGAGCAGAACTCTTTTCTGTTGGTTAAAACACATACATTTTTCATTATAATAGAAAACCAAAACAACACAAAAATTAAAGAAAGAGAAAGGAAGGAAGGGAGAGAGGAAGCAAGGAAGGGAAAGGAAGAAAAGTGAAAGGAAAGGAAAGACACAGATTAGGGAAAAACAGTTTTGTTACCTTTTCTTAAATTTTTAAGTGGGAGCAGTTAAAATTATGGTAATAGGATGGTTCTGGTATTCTCTTAAAAATGAATCCTCAGCTTTTTCAATAAATTACTGTGGAGACTAGTATGCTAAGTAAAATTGCTTCACCATAAGTACCAGCATTCATGATAAAGGTAAACATCTTATTTATAGTCAGATATTTGTTTTTATTTAGATGCGTTATTTAATAATTTTTTTACACTGAATATTTTACTGATGATATAAGATCTATAATCTTGTATGGTATACCCTAGAAAACGTTAGAAACATAATCTGTGTAAAATTACGTATATAGAAAATGCATTTCTAATTCTAAACTTATAATTTTATTATAACAAAGGGAGACAGTATTGCTTTATTAAAAAAAGTAAAAATAAAAGTTTCAAAATGCAATGCAGTTGGAATAAATGTTTACCACTTTTTATTTTTTAAAAAAGGAAAGTACAGTGCCTTTTTCAAATACCTTTACAATTTTTGAACACTTCTCAGTCAATAATCTTGTGTATTAAAACATTCATTGGAGGTGATGTGACACATCATTGGTCTTGAGTCATATTTACTATATCATATAATTATTAGCAAATAAATACAATGTGACAAACAAGATTGATAAAAAGTTCTCTCTACCAACTTGCAAAATGTTTTGCCCAGGTTTCTTGCCTTTGAGAGAAATCATAACTTTGGTTTGAGGAATAGAAAAGTAAATATGAAGGACTTCTGCTGTCACTGTCTTAAAAGTATCAAATTTAGAAAAGCTTCTATTTTTCTTCAATGTTTGTATGACTATTAAGGAAAGTGCTTTTTTGAGATATGTATCTACATACTAGATACACTTTATAGAGTAGTAATGGGTCTTTCTTTGAATATTCCTCCAGTCCAGTATTTCAAACTTCCCCTATTACAACAATGCGCCTGGGGAACTTGTTACAAATAGAGGCACTTGCCCTCACATTCACCTTCAATAGGCCCAGAGTAGGGCTCAGGATATTTGTACTCCCCAGGAATTTACTTTGTACTTGTTGTGAATAATTAGCAATCACTATTTATGTATTAAAATTTAAAATGCTAAAAATCTAGAAAGCTACCTCAAGTCTTATAATAGTAAATTTCTATTTTAGTAATTATTTTATTTATTTTTAATTTTGGATAATTTTATCATTGCTCAAAAATGTCAATAATTTCCAATAGCCTGGTTATTCACAAAAGATTATCATTTTTAAAAGTCAAAATCTTTATAGTTTGGGAGGATCACCTCATTTGTACTTCAATATTATATTGCCTCGTGTAGCTGAGTTAATGGTAAGCAATTTAATTTTTTATTCTACATTTTCTGAATCTGTGACATTTTCCTAAATTCTTTGCAATTTTTGCCTTATCTGAATATTGCTTTTCTTTGTCTAATTAAGCAGTTTTTTTATTTTTAGATTTTTTTTTCTGTGAACATCTATTAAATCACAGACATAATGGTTTTGTTGTATGGACCACTATGTGAAACTTATACGGAAAGCAGGTCAGGGAAGTGCTGGGAGGAAAAGGGTGGGTCCCTGGTAAGGGTTCCATCCCTGGGCCTGGGCCCATGGACCTAGGTGAGGACAGGCACTCCTGTGCAACATCTGCCTTAGCACCCAGATGTTGCATTTCCAAAGACCACCCTGGCCTACCATGTCCCCATCCTGTGCCTATAAAAACCCCAAGACCCTGACAGGCGGACACACAAGCGGCTGGACATCAAGAGCACGTCAAGGGGAGCAGGCCAGCAGAAGAACACACAACAGACTCAGGCAGGCCATTGACCTGTGGAAGGAGGTGGAATTCGGCCGGAGCAGTCAGAGGAGAGCCCAGGGACTGCAGGGGAAAACCATCTTCCTTCTGGCTCCCCCATTTGCTGAGAGCTACTTCCACTCAATAAAACCTTGCACTCATTCTCCAAGCCCACATGCGATCTGATTCTTCTGGTACCTAATACAGAAAGCCCTCTGTCCTTTCTCTAAGGCAGGGGTCTAATTGAGCTGACTAACCACAAGCCACCTATGGATGGCTAAACTTTTGAGCCCCCTGTAACACATGCCCACTGGGGCTTCAGTTGTAAACATTCACCCCTAGACACTGCCATGGGGTCGGAGCCCCACAGCCTGCCAGTCTGTGTGCTCCCCTAGAGGTTTGAGCAGCGGGGCACTGAAGAAGTGAGCTACACCCCCGTCGCACGCCCTGCGAGAGAGACAAGGGATCCTTTCCAGTTTCAAAACCATAAATACATAACTAGAAAAATTAACATAGTCTGAAAAAGACTCGATGATCTTAACATGTCATTAGTTGCATGCATACCACACTTTGAGAAGTGCTCTGAGAAAATACTAGAAAAGGTATTGATCACAATACAAATGTTTTTGATAAACTGGTGGCAGCACAACTGACACCTTGATGGGGCTTAATGATGGAGCTGAGGCAGTACATTCTAAAAAATGAAGTCTTCCAATAAAGCAGTCTTATGGTAGTATGTAAAAGAAAATACAAGACACATAATAGAAGACAATTTAAAATGTCTTGGTGTCTATATAGGTGGGTGTGTATTAATTCCTAATGCAGAAGACATTACTATAAACTGAGTGACTTAAATTTATTGTCTTACATTTCTGGATGTCAGAAGACCAAAATACACTTTATAGGTTACAGTCAAAGCCCTGTCATTGCCTTATTCCTTCTGGAATTTGTAGAGGAGAGTCCATTTTCTTGCCTTTTCCACCTTCTAAAGATTTTCTGAATTGTTTGGTTCACGGCCCCTTCCTCTGTCTTCAAAGCACATAAATTCAGCCTCTGATTCTGTCATAGTCTCTTCTCTCCAACTCTGAAGATCCAGCCCTTGTGATTACATTAGACCTGGCTGGAAAATTCAGTATAATATTTACATCTCAAGGTCCTTAATAAAATCTATCCGCAAAGTCCCTTTGTCATGTAAGACAACATATTCGTAGGTTCTGGAAATAAGGACACGGACATCTTTAGGAGCCACTATTCTGTTCATCACAGCATGGGAAGATGAAAATGACATGAAAATGATAACAGATAGCTAGGTCAGATAGTGATTAAGGATAAAAGAAGAAGAAAGAGCCAGAGTGTGCACAACATGTGTATGTATTTGTAAGAGGTTGCTAATTAATCCAGTTATTCGTATGTTGGATACCGTGGACCAATACTTAGGATAGAGTTCAGAGTTGTTAGCATTCTAAATAACTATAAATTTGGGAGACATTAATATAGAGATAACAGTTTAATATGTTGAACTGGCTAAGTTTGATAAAAGACAAAAATATGTATAGAATAGAAGACTATGGAGTGGAGTCTGAAGAGGAAGAACGGAGAGGTAGTAAAGGATAAAAGGAGACTACAGATACAGTAAAACCTAGGAGGAAAGTGTTTGAAGAGGACTGACAAGGCACAGAGTCAGATAGGATAGGATCTAAGCAACAGTGACCAAATACCATGGGAAAAAGAAATTAAATAGATGGAATATATACGTGTCTAGGACTTTCTACCAGCCACTGTGCTAGGTATATTAGATAGATTAGGTCCTCTCATTCTTACACTAAAACTACAAAGAACTTAATATCAGTGACTGTTCACAGATGAGGAAAGTGAGGCTTAGTCTTTCCATGATAATTTATCTAATAACTGCAGGGTATAAAAGCAGTTGTGTCTAATTTCCAAACCTGTGGTCTGTTCTTTGCGTCATGCAGCCTTTTAGGAGAAGTGGAAACCAGATTAGAAATGATTCAACAATGAAGGTATACAAACAAACAACAAAAATAAAATTGAAGACAGTGAGTGTAAACTACCTTTTAGAGAAAGAAGAGAAGTGAGAGGAGATAGGTAGCTTGAAAGGCAGTTCTGTAAAATTGTTAAGCCTAGGACACAAGCATTTCCAGGCCAAAGAAATGGAAAACATTTTTCTTAAATGATGTATTTGAGTGCTCAGGATAGAAGACAGAGAAGATATTATTGATGAAAATGAGTTGTTAGAGAGATAGGAAACAAGGAAACCAAATTTTAGATAGAAAAATCAGCCCTAAAAGGAAGCCAGCAAAATGGAACCAAACCTCATCCAGTCATATCATTACGTTCCGCTGTGTCAAATGCTTAACTGCTTAGCTAAGAAAAGGTGCAGAATTACTGTTTGTGTCCCCGCTACCTCCACAAAATTCATGTTGAAATCCTAACCCTCATAGCGATTATATTAGGGATGGGGCCTTTGGGGAATGATTAGGTCTTGCCTGTGGATTAGGGCCCTTAAAAAAAGACACAAGAGAGTTTTACTTCAGCTCTCTCTGCTCTTACAACCATGTTATAATACAATGAGAAGTAGACGATCTGTAATCCAGAAGATGGCCCTCACCTGAACTCAACCATATACTGCCACTCTGGTCTTGAACTTCCAGCCCCCAGAATTGTGAGAAATTAATTTTAGCAGTTTATATGCCTTCCAGTCTGCGGTACTTGGTTACATCAGTCCAAACTGACTAAGACACATATCATCTGTGTTATAGTTCCCAGGCATTTGCTCATATAATTTTTTCAGCTTGAAATTCCTTTCCTAAGATTTTGTTAAAATTCTACTCATGGACTAAAAACCTGCAGGTATATGATCCTCATTCATGAGATAGTATTGATTCTTTCTACAGAAGTATTCTTTTATGCTTACTTTTTCAGTGTGTGCCTCTCTTTCAGCCTGTGCCTGCTTCAAAGTGAGTAACAATATTAACAGCTATGTTATTGTTAGTATTCGTAACTACCAGATACTATGCCATAAACTTTGTGTACAATAACTCATTTAATCATAACACAACCGGATAGCTCTATTTTATTAAAAACAAAAACAAAACTGTGTTTAAGAATAAATTTTGAAGTTTACCTAACATTATGTAGCTAATTATGAGAGAAACAGGAATCAATACTTTGTCTTTTGTCTTAGCTCACCTCTGTTTGGAAGCAAGAAGAATTCCCAAAACTGTTTAAATAAAAACAAGGGAGAATTATTTTAGTGGCATGTGTTTTATAACAGGAAAACTTCGTATCTGGGTCTTACAGATTATGAACTGGAACAGGTCTGGATCTCTTAGCAACAGGTGATTACAGGCCTAGACACTCATGCCCCACTCTTAATGGGATTTTATAACCAATCAACAATTTCTGTATCCCCTTGGGAATTCTAATCAAGAAAGATAGCAATAATCCTAAACCACATTATTTTATAGATCAAGAAATTTAGCAAAAATATATGAACAATTTTTTAAATTAATTGATCAAAAATTTAGGAGAGTTAATATTTATTCAGGATTCATTTGTTTTGTTTACTTTTTTTTTCGGTATGTTTTTTGAGACAGGGTCTTACTCTATCACCCAGGGTGTAGTGCAGTGGCAAAACCTCGGCTCTCTGCAGCCTCAACTTCCCAGGGCCAAGCGATCCTCCCACCTCAGACTCCTGAAGAGCTGGTACTACAGGCATGTGCCACCACACCAAGCGAATTTTTGTATTTTTTGTAAAGATGGGGTTTTGCCATGTTGCCCAAGCTGGTCCTCAACTCCTAGGTTCAGGCGATCTGCCTATCTTGGCCTCCCAAAGTACTGGGATTACAGGCATGAGCCACATGCCCAACCCAGGATTCATTTTCTTACATGAAACCACTTAAGAAAAAAAAAAAGAAGAAATTAAAGGGAAGGTGAAAAACATATTTCGCAGAACACAGATACAGTAAGAAAATCTAAAACTCTCTGCAGGGCGCGGTGAGGCTCGCACCTGTAATCCCAGCACTTTGGGAGGCCAAGGCAGGCGGATCACCTGAGATCAGGGGCTCGAGACCAGCCTGGACAACATCATGAAATCCCGACTCTACTAAAAATACAAAAATTAGCCGGGTGTGGTGGCACATGCCTGTAATCCCAGCTACTTGGGAGTCTTAGACAGGAGAATCACTTGAACCTAGAAAGCAGAGGTTGCAGTGAGCTGAGATCACACCTCTACACTCTAGCGTGGGTGACAGAGCAAGACACCATCTCAAAAAAAAAAAAAAAAGAAAGAAAGAAAGAAAAAAAAGAACCTGAGATATTAGGGTTATCAGAAGCCTTGCTCACTTTACTGAGGGCAAGTTATCTTTGCTTGTCTCTGCTTCTCTGGGTTGATTTCCTTCTTATCTCTTTCCGCTGATGGATTTTCTTGTATTTCAAATAGTTTCATATAACTTTCACTTAAATTTTCATCATAGATTATATTACTTGAATATAAATTTCTTATTAAAATAAACTGATAAATCCAGCTTGGATTCGTTGTTCACTCATTTTTCGATCAGCTAGAGAGAGGGGCTTAATGTCCCACATTCTACAACCAATTCAGGAGGCACTGGGAGAGCATATAAAGCAAGAACATGACAACTGGATGATGACCCTTCATAAAAAAGGCACTTTAGTGTCAGGAAATCTGTCCAAGAGTTATTTTCCTATTCTCTTCCTAAGGGTAGTACCAACAACACTCATGTACACTCTTAATTATAGACATATTCATAATTAACATATTCATTTAATTTATATTTATTAGTCTAATACATAAGGCTATATAATAAAGTAGTTTAATAAGAATTTTTACAAAAAGTAAAATAAATATTTCTATTTTTGAGATTTTTATCTTTGTCAAGCTCTATCTTAAAATACAGCAATCCAATGATTTGCATCAGCTTTTTTACCGAAGGGAAATGTTTCTAACATCCATAATAATATCCTTATGTGCCTATGTAAGCCTGAAAAATAATTCCAACATTATGATTGATGAATTTTCGGCTGTCTCAGGTTTTAAAATTGATTGGAGAGAAGTGGAAATTGTAATACAACTTGCTTTGTCTGCACAGCATGCCTTCTAAGTAAATCACTAAATGAACACCAGAGGGAATTAAATATTTTGGAACGCTATAAAAATAAATTTGAAAGAAAAATAAAACTTTGAATGAAATATGTATGGATTTTCTTAAGTCTATTATGACATAACTATGAAACTTAAAATAGAAGGATATATTGGTCTTTAAAGATAATAGTACTTTAGAAAAAGAGATTGATTAGTCAGATTTTTGCTCATTTTGTTTCATGGTTTAGAAAAATTTTTTAAATTGTTTTCCCAACATGACAGCCTAAAATTTATTACATCATATCTTTTTGCCCAACACTCATATTTCCAGAGGCAGAAAGTTATTCTACATAATTTCTCAAAGTGAACTGATGCCCTTTTGAAGTCAGGGCTTCAGTCTCCATATGGGGAACCAGGGCTCCATTTCCTGAGCACAGGCAACTCAAGTTGTTGTCAAGCTGATGACCTGCTTAATTTAATCCCTAAAGCTGATCTGCCTGTGTTTCCTGTCACAGTGATTTCCTTTCTGAGTGGGTAATCTGATTTGCCTTAGATTACTGAAGTCAATAGTTTATCTGAACTATGTTTGAGATGTCATGAATTTACATTTTGGGTGGTAGAGTTGGTCATTTGCCCACACTTGGCCTTTCCTGTGATTTTTTTTTTTTTTTTTTTGAATTTGAGAGTTCACCTAAGGAGAATAGAATTTAATAGTCATGCAGATTTTTAACAATCTGTTTAACATGAGCAACATGGAACTGATATAGACCATGCAAGACTTCATATTCAATAGATTTAACAAAGGTTTTAGACAGAGAATAAGCCTTTTTCCATATTATACCCATTTTTTTCGATTTCTTTTCAGGTTGTTTCTCTTACTATCAACACATAGCTATCCATATCCATAATTAGAGAGGATTACAAAGATAGAGGAGTGAGGGTAACCCTACTCATGGGATAGATTCTTCCAGCTTGCAGTTTTTCCCATCAACTCTTGAGAATCTCATTGGGCATCTTACTTCTTGTAAGTTGGTAGCACCTTTTGACTTATCAAATCTGTTCATTCACCAAAGTGTACTAAGTGCCAGGTTTGTGCCAGTCATTTGCCAAGCACTGTGTTAAGCACTGAGCAGATAATAATGATCACAATATGAGTGCATGCCATATTGAATGTAGAACTCAATTAATCTTAACAATCCCCAGATGGATCTAGGTATTCCCAAAATCTTGCTGCCAAGGTTATTGATGTGATCAGCATCCATATATGGTAAACTAGACAAATCATTTTTTTATATAATTCATGCATATCAATGTGGGGAGAGAGAGTATTATTAGCAGTTCTATCTTCTTTATTCAAATATATCCTAGTAGGTAACAATAACACACAATAAACAAACAAGTTCTAAGGAAATAAATAGGAAATGTAGATTTATTTAAACGAGGTACTGCCCTAAGTTCTGGTTATCGTGTTAACGACACTGAGGAGCAAAGAGAAAATAAACAATTCAAGATTATTTTTGATACTCCTGTGTTAGCTAAAGGAAATAAAGCGAGTGACAGTATCAATGGTACTTTTCAGGGGTGTGTACAGCTACCTCAGCTTGGAAGATCATGAGTGGCATGACCGTTGTATCAATCTTGGGTTTATCATGAGACTTTCCTATCTATTGAAGAAGAAACGTGGAAGAATAGAGAATTGTAAATCTCTTATTCATGGAGAAAAAGAAAACATAGGTCAAGGAGTTTTAAATTGAAATTTTAACTTCCAAACTCTTAGAGGCAGGGATCCAATATGACTACATCAGTTTTGTGTATCTATGTTCCTTGCTGAAACGATAATAGAAATTTGTTTCCTTTCTTCTTTATTATTATAAGCAGATCTTAACCTGTGTTCTGATATTTTGGCTGTAAGGCTATAGACACATTTGTTTATCATCTCTGTGCCTCAATTAACTCAACTGTAAAATAAAAGTAGCGTAAGTATGTACCTGAGAAAGAAACTTTTAATCTGAGGAATATGAGCCCCATTTAAACTATCAGGCCCAGAGAGGCATTGGAAAAAGACAGCACTTATATCCCACTGCCCTCCTTGAACTAAATGATATCTCTTGAACCTGCTTGCCATGTGACTCTAGACTGACTGATGGCACAAGTCGCTATAAATTAACCTAACAATGTCACATGCTGGACACCACGACTCTCATCCTACAGCTTAACAATGGATAGAAATCACTAGTCAATGTCATTTCTGTAAACCAATGAGAATTCCTGATGATTTTGTATGAGCCCACTCCTTTTATTCATTTTTGCCTTTAAAAACCTGACAATAACCGAGGGCAAACAGAGCACTTCCCAAGGTAACATACAAATGTTTCCCAGGCAGCTGTCCTCACATTGGCCCAAATAAACTCTTTAAAATTATATTTTGTGCCTCAGCTTCTTCCTTTAGGTCAACACACCTCAGAAGTTATGAAAATTAAATGAACTAATATACGGAAATTTACATACAACTCATAAGATCAATACCAATGTATCTCATATACATAATTGTATATTCATAAATAAATTACCAAAGAAAATTATAATGTATCTATCTGAAAACACCTGGCACAATGTAAGCAACATTAATTTATTTTATGAGTTTCAAATAACTTATAGCAATGAAATATGACCAATTACATCAGTTTCCCAGGACTAAGAAAACAAAGTACCACAAATTGGATGGCTTAAAGCACAGACATTTATTCTGTCACAGTTCTGGAGATTAGAATTCCAAAATAAAGGCCTCAGCAAGGTCAGGCTCTAGAGGAAGATCGTGCCTGGCCTCTTCCATCTTGAGGATTTTTTGCCTGCACTCCTGGCGTTCCTTTGCTCATAGACGCATCACTCTGATCTCTGCCACTGTCACCACATGGTATTCTCCTTGTTTGTTTCTCCTGTTCTCCTGTGTCTTTATGTCCTCTCTTCTTACAAAGATACCAGTGACATTGTATTTAGGATCCACTCTAAGCCAGTGTGACTTCTTCTTAACTTGATTACGTTTGCACAAAGCAGGGGTTATTGCTTGAGCACATCTTTTTTTTTTTTTTTTTGAGACAGAGTTTCGCTCTTGTTACCCAGGCTGGAGTGCAATGGTGCAATCTCGGCTCACTGCAACCTCCGCCCCCCCGGTTCAAAGCGATTCTCCTGCCTCAGCCTCCCGAGTAGCTGGGACTATAGGTGCGCGCCATGTCGCCTGGCTAATTTTGTATTTTTAGTAGAGACAGGGTTTCTCCATGTTGATCAGGTTGGTCTCGAACTCCTGACCTCAGGTGATCCACCCACCGCCTTGGCTTCCCAAAGTGCTGGGATTACAGACATGAGCCACTGCACCCAACTTATGGTTTTATATAACAATTACTTTTAAAAACTCGTTTGTCGATTCCACAACAATTTACTGAGAAATTTTGGCCCCTCTATTTAAAATATTTTTTCCTTTTAAAATTAAAATGTGCATGAATGAAAAAATGGATAGACTGAGTTATAATCAGGCTTGATCAATAAGATACTACTCTAACTTCATTGTACACTTGATTTGTATGTCTGTGTATGAAGGCCATATGTTTACATTGTATACACCCAGGCTGTAAACACATGTGCATTGGGTTTATTATAATTTTCTTGATGTTCTCAATAGTTTAAAAATTAAAAAAAAAAAAACAAGATAAAACCAATTATAGAATTATTTCTCAATAATTGCTTAGAATTAGTATTCTATGTAAATGTTTATAATTCATAGCTTCATGTAATTAGAAAACCCTTAAATGACAGATGCTAATACAACATTTTTACCTGACAGGCTATATGATATCCAACAAATCTCTTTGGCAAAGATATGTCAAATAAACTTTTTTGATAAAGTCAAGATTTATATATTCAATTTTATATTCAGTATCCTAATAAATAGTGTAAACTATTACTTAAAGTCATCTTAATTATATTGATTATGTATAAAATGTTTAATGAAAGATACAGAAATAAAATAAAAACATGATCCTTATTTCTATTATTATGTAATGAATGAAAATACATTAGAAAGCATGTCAAGATGAAGATGGTGATTATATTTTTAAGTGAATAATTCTGATGAATTGGACAAATCCTTAAGAAACCCCAAAAAATGGACATAGAAAATTTAACCATTGAATGTTCAACTCCAAATATACTCTTACCCTTTAAAAATATTACATTAGAGTAAGTAAGATGATGTCTTAATTAATACTTGCAGATCTCAAACAGTGTTTCTTTTACTTGGGGGAGGACAAAAAGGTAGGAGACTATCATTTCTGGACAAGACAGTAATTTAAATGTGCCAAGGATTCAACCAAAACTCTTAACAGACAAGAAAAATGGTCCACTATTTTTTTTTTTCATGTTCTCACTTATTTGTCTTATATGTCTATGTCTCATTATCCCATGGCATAGCTTGTGTGTTTTCACTCAAACTAACTATCCAAACCTAGGAGAATGATTAGAAAATGTTTCCTTTTGTAGCTTCGATATCATTTCTGTGCTTCAGCTTCATAGTAAAGAATTATGATTTCTATGTTGGAAACGAAAAAAGGCCAAATTTGTTAATGGCTAGTCAGAATTTTTTGTTGCCAGTAATGTATTGTTTAAAGGAATATTTACACAGTACTGATGAAGTCTAATTAATATACTTGATCATTTTCAACTAAGAAGAGCATTAAATATTTTTCCCTGATATTTCCATGATATATTGAGAAAGAAAATAGTTCAATAACACAATTGAGTAAGATAAGCTTCTATTTATTGGTCGATACTAACTATTTTTATATTTCATATGTGCCTGGAGACTCTATAATCACACACCTTTTATAAATCACACACAAAAAATTAATATATATGGACTGCTTATATTGTAAGAGAGAAAAAAATAACTGTTTACTTTCACAAATGTCCCACTCTTCTAATTATAATGTACCTTTACTTTTATGTGCCAATGAAAAGAACACCTCCTACAAGAAAAAGTCTGAATATGTAGAAGAAATTATCCCTATGATGGAGTTTTATAAGATAACTTTAAAAAATACAAGAACATATGCCCTTACAATGAGCACAAGCCCATATTGCTAAATTGTGTATCATTTTAAGGGATAAAAAATCTTTTTACTGGTGCTCGCATTTAAGGGTGTAATTTGAATACCTAGGAAATCAATATCTGCTTTACTATGTGATTACAGTCAAATAATTGAAGTATCAGACAAGCAGTGAACCACAGGGTTTTTCTGTGCAAACAGCAAGGCATTCTAACTACAAAGCTCTTCTCAATGCTAGTGGACCTCAGGTTGTAATTACATAAAACTTTAAAATGTACTATTTTTTCAAAAGATCCTGTTGGGGTAATCATTCAAGGGAAGAAAGAATTTCTAAAAATACCAGAATTGACACTTCCTGCTGAGGCAAGAAAGAAGGAACTGTTTAAAGGTAAATTGATAAGGAAGATTCTGGAGGGCTCTTATTCATAGCACCTAACAATGCCATCCTCCTGGTCATTTGGAGCATTTCATGCACAGCTTGGAGTACCTTAGAAGCATTCAGCTTCATTCTTCACCAGATCATCAGGGATAGTGCTTTTCCTTTATTCACTTCCAAAGGCTTAAATCTCTCTTTCTGGACAACTCTCATATCTTCTACTGAAAATACTTTCTATCTGATAGGAGCAAATTCTTCAGAACCAGAGCCAGTGTGCTATTGCAGCCGCTGAGCCAATCCTTACTACACACATCATCCAGCAATACCTGGATCAAAGACAAATGTGCCTACAGGGACAACTAGGTTGGGTTGAAGCTAAACAGGACAAACAGTTAATAAATGGCAATTGATACTTAGTGTCAGGGTTGGGTTGGAGTGGGGTGTGACTCAGAGTATAACAAACAGAATGTCCTCCTTATGCTGTCATTCAACTTCAGTGCTTTAATGGACATTTCTGTGTGTGAGAATTTCAGCCCAGTTTTTCTGATCTTTACATTCTTTGAATGAAAAAAAAACAAGAATTTTACACATTTCTGTAAAATGTTTCAACTTGCAAATATTGACAAATTGGCTACTAGCTAACAGGCTTTTGTGGGAAAGTAATTCCTTCATAAATTTATATATAAAGTATTTTGCATAGTAGTCATTTAAAGTAATTATAAAGCATAGAAATTAATTTTACTTATTGCTGTATATCATTGATAACTTACAATGTTACTAGAATTACCAAACATATTTTTTGTACACAGAGGGATACTGCAAAATTGAAGTATTTGAATATGCTTTATAATTCTAATTTCCCATTTAAATAAAACAGTTCATTGGCCTGTTTTAACTCAGAGAAGCTGAGTTAAACGCTCTTACTTTTGACAATGCACACGGTAAAAGCTTCCATGTAATGAAATCTATAAAATTACTTCCTGATTTCAAAGAGATTTCCAATTTGGATGATGTCATCAATTTCAACTCTATACTTATTGCAATGAGGTCATGATTTTCCTTGTATTTCTCAATTAAGAAAAAAGAAACAAACGAATATATCATATGTGACATTGTTTAATCAATAATAATAATGATTGCATTTTAAGCAAAAGACTATATTTTAACAAATAATTTATCATATTCAGTCACTTAAAGGCCTTGTTATATTATTTTTGTATATTATGTCTATTTCTCTACAGTATAGTGGGCATTTTGTCAAACAACTCAAACTAAAACTTTAAATTTCATGATTATAGCTAACATGTTATGTAGTACATACTGAAGGAAAGGGAGGACTAGAGAGTATTCTAAGTTATTTCTCCAATGTCTATGTTCTAGAGACTGTGTATACTTTTTCTTGATCTTCAAAAGTAATACAGGAAATGAGTAGTCACATGAAGAGTGTCATAAAATTGTGCTTGCTGAGCATGGTGGTGCATGCCTATAATCCCAGCTACTCAAGAGGCTGAGGCAGGGTTTAATAAACTATGGTTCATTAATATATAAGGCCACATTACTAAATTATTTTCTATTAATTACATTGATTTTATCAGCAGTTTTTTGATACCTGCCCAGCAATTTTAGCCTGTTTCTCTGTTAATAACACTTGGGCCATTACCGTTCTCTCCTGTGTGGCTGTTTTGTACTTTCAAACAAGATTTAATTACAAATAAACAAATTTCTACAATTACAGATAAACACATTTTTATTGCTATTCAAGACCAGCCTAAGTTTGGAACTAATGAGTTATTCTTGCCTTATTTCACAATACATGGTATATACTCAATATATAAGCAATATATACTCAATATACTTAATATAACATGATGAATATCTAAAGTACTCTATCAGATATCTCAAATATGCCTTACATTTATGTCTCAAAATTTGGTAAGTTTCTATGCTCTTTCTCTTTCTGGAATACCTTTCTTCCTACTATCTTTTAAAATGTTACTTAATTATAATAGATGCACTATTATTTATTTCTTTTGTCCAATATCAAAAACCTCTTTTTATATTTGATGAACTTAGTGGATGACAGATTTTGTCTCACACTACAAAAACCCAAATATCTGATATTCATGGCTCAAGTCTCCCATACAATGAAAACACAGGAGTGACCTTGGCTTGGGAAGTTAAATGTACCTCCTCTGAATTTTGAGTTGGAAGCTAAGGTTAACAAAAACCAAAAGAGTGAAGAAATGCAGTGTTGACAGAAGTGGTAGCAGTGTTATACAGTCTCTATACACAGAAGTAACCTTGTGAGCAAGGGTAGTGTCCTGTGGCTTTTTTATGGATAGGTTACATCTAGTGTTCTACTGGTTGCTGTAATGTTATTCTTGCCTGTGGCTTGGGAGGCATGGCCTTCTTTTCTCTTGTTTGTTTCTATATCCTGGTTCTTCAATTGTACCAGTATTTCTGTGACCTTTCCATCTTTCAAATAATTTCTTTTTTATTCAATTACAGATCACTTTTTATTGCTTGCAACTAAGAAAATGGAGAATAACACTCATTGGTAAGGGGCTGGGATAGTAAAGGCAATTGGTATCCAGCTGTTGCCCAAGAATTTATCTGTCTCATTAAATAAAAATATTATAGAAATATGTAGATTGTTTTCACCTGTCAGGGACATTAATTTGTCTTTCCCATTTTTTCCCTCCAGATTACGTGAATTCTTAAATTTTGTGCAGTTATTTAAACTGTTTTATTAGTTTATTTATTATTTTAATGTATATATTTTTGAGAAAAGATCTCACACTGTTGCCCAGGCTGGAGTGCAGTTGCACAATCAGAGCTCACTGCAGTGTTGCCCTCCTGGGCTCAAGCAATTCCCACATCTCAGCCTCCTTAGTAGCTGGGACCACTGCCATACACTACCATTCCTGGCTAATCTTTTAATTTTTTTGTAGAGATTGGGGTCTCATTATATTGCTCAGGCTGATCTGGAATTGCTGGGCTCAAGCAATCCTCTTGTCTTGACCTCCCAAAGTGCTGGAATTATAAGTGTGAGCCACCATGCCCAGCTGTAAAGATTTTAATAATCTCCAATCAATCATAAACCACCACATTAGTCTATAAATTAAAGATATTATATTCATAAAACAGGAAAACAGAAATTAATAGACAAGCAATATTCCTGTGAGGGTAAGAGATATATCCCATAACATGTAGAGGTTTGACACCTCCGTAAATCATCTGAGGAAAGGGGATTCATGTACATGTACATGTACATGCCCTCAAAATAAAGCACAATTTTCTTTACCTTGTGCTCTGCTATTTAATATGGGAAATATTGCCTGGCAGAGTTCACTTATAGTGGAAAGGCATCATATGACATGTTTTGGCCTACTGACACATTAATCAGGTAATTGATATATACATTTTATCATATTTAATTCTATCAAGGCAGAACGTGGTAGCTCACACATGTAATCCTAGCACTTTGGGAGATGGTGGCAAGAGGGATCACTTGAGCCCAGGAGTTTGAGGCCAACCTGAGCAATATAATAAGAACTCATCTCTAAATAATAAATAAATAAATAAATTCTAATTTTATCAATTTAATGGCCAAAATTTGACTTTCCTTATTATTGATGAAATAGAGTATCTCTTTATATAAAGATCATTTTAAAAGTATGTTTTACAGGTATTGATTTCATTTGTATGACACTATTACTCAAATATCTTTATTTTTATTTTTATGTAGGCAACATACTTATTTTTGCTTCATGGTTTTTCTCTCTCTCTCTGTCTCATGTGTATATATAAGGTCATGACCCCACATTTTATTTTCTACATTATAGTATGTAATAAATTTGGAATTGTTTTAAATATAATTCATGATTTAGAAATATAGGGATATAACTTCATTATTTAAGAAAGTACCAAGTTTTGGCTGGGTGCAGTGGCTCACGCCTATAATCTCAGCACTTTGGAGGCTAAGGCTGGTGGATCACTTGAAGCCAGGAGTTGGAGAGCAGCCTGGCCAACATGGTGAATCTCTGTCTTCAATAAAAATAAAAAATAGCCAGGTGTGGTGGCATATGCCTGTAGTCCCAACTACTATAGCTTGAGTACACAAGACTCTGTCTCAAAAAATTAAGCATGGAGCCATTTGGTCTCAGGCTTTTCTTTACTAGGAGATTTCTTATTATGGATTTGATCTCACTACCTGTTATGGTCTGTTTGGGTTTTAGATTTCTTCAGGGTTCAATCTTAGTTAAGTTGTATGTGTCTAGGAATTTATCCATTTCCTCTAAATTTTCTAACTTTTTGGAATGCAGTTGCTAATAGTAGCCACTAATGATCCCTTACATTTCTGTGTTATCAATTGTAATGTCTCTGTTTTCATCTCTGATTTTATTTATTTGGGTCCTGTCTCCTTTTTTTCTTAGTCTAGCTGAAGGTTTGTTCATTTATCTTTTCAACAAACCAATTTCCTCTTTCATTGATCTTTTGTATTGTTTTCTCTATTTCAAACTCATTTATTTCTGCTTCAATCTTTATTATTTGTTTTATTTTACTAGTTTTGGGTTTGGTTTGCTGTTGCTTTCCTAGTTCTTTAAGACACAACATTAGGCTACGCAGTTGATATTTTTCTTTTTTTTATGTAAGCACTTATAGTTATAAATTTTCCTCTTAATATTGCTTTCACTGTTTCCATAGGTTTTGTTATGTTGTGTTTCCATTATCATTTGTTTCAAGGAATTTTTAAATTTTCTTCTTAATTTCTTCATTGAACCACTGGATATTGGGAGCATATTTTTAAAATTTTCATGTGTTTATATAATTTCTAAAATTTCTAGTTTTATTCCATTGTAGTTGGAGAAAATGCTTGATATTATTTCAATTTTTGAATAAGACTTGTTTTGTGACCTAACATATGATCCATCCTTGAGAACAATTCATGTGCTGAGGAGAAAAAAATGTGTATTTGGCAGCCATTGGATAAAACGTTGTGTAAATACCTGTTAGGTCAATTTGGTCTACAGTGCAGATTATGTCTGACTTATTTTTGTTGTTGATTTTCTGTCTGGAAGATCTTTCCAATGCTCAAAGTGGATGTTAAAGTGTTTAGCTGCTATTGTATAGAGATCTATTTCTCTCTTTAGCTCTAATAATATTCGCTATATATACTCCCAGTGCTGGATGCATATATATTTACTATTGTTATGTCCTCTTGTTGAATTGATCCCTTTATCATTATATAATGACTTTCTTTGTCTGTTCTTAAAGTTTTGTCTTGAAATCTGTTTTGTCTGATATAGCTACTCCTGCTCTTTTTGGTTTCCACTGGCATGAAATGTCTTTTTCCTTCTTTTTTTTATTTTCAGTTCATGTGTATCTTTACAGGTGAATGTGTTCCTTGTAGGCAACAGATCACTGGGTCATACTCTTTTATTCATTCAGCTTTTCTATGTCTTTTGTTTGGATAGTTTAGTCCATTTACATTCAATGTTACTAGTCATAAGCAAACATTTACTCCTGCCATTTTGTTATTTGTTTTCTGACTGTTTTGTTTTCTTCTCTTTTTTTCTTTCTTTCCTGTCTTCCTTTTAGTGAAGGAGATTTTCTCTGGTTGCATGATTTAACTTTCTGCTTTTTATCTCTTTTGTGTACCTGTTGTATATTTTGTGATTTGAGTTTATCCTAAGACTTGCAAATACTATCTTATAACTCAACATCTTACACTAATGACAACACTGATGATATAAACATAGAGGAAAAAGGAACACCAATAACTCAGATTTGTGCCTTTTGAGGCTATTTTGTAGATCCTATAGGCATGCTTCATTCTTTTTTATTATTTTTTCTTTTATCTACTCTGACTGTGTATTTCCAAGTAGTCTGTCTTCAAGCTCACTAATTCTTTCTTCTACTTGATCAATCCTGCTTTTAAGAGACATGCATTCTTTAGTATATCAATTGCATTTTTCAACCCTAAAATTTCTGCTTGATTCTTTTTACCAATTTCAGTCTCTTTGGTATATTTATCTGCTAGAATTCTGAAATTCTTCTCTGTGTTATATTGAATTTCTTTGGGTCTACTTTGAATTCTTTGTCTGAAAGGTTAAATATATCTGTTTCTCCAGGATTAGTCCCAGATTCCTTATTTAGTTGATTTGGTGAGATGATGTTTTCCTGGATGGTCTTGATGTTCATAAATATTTGTCAGTGTCTAGGCATTGAAGAGTTAGGTGTTTATTGTAGTCTTTGCAGTCTGGGCTTCCTTGTGCCCATCCTTCTTGGGAAGGCTTTCCAGTTATTTGAAAGGACTTGGGCCTAAAACCCAATAATGCTGTGGTTCTTGCAGACTCATAGAAGTACTACTTTGGTGATCTTAGATAAAATCTAGAAGTCTTTTGATTACCATTCAGAGACTTTTGTTCTTTTCCCTTACTTTCTCCCCAGCAGAGTCTCTTTCTCTGTGACGTGTTTCCTGGAATTGGGGGTGGAGAGACACAAACACTCCTGTGGCTACCACCACCAGAACTGTGCTAGTTCAGACCTGAAGTCAGCATAGCACTTGGTATCACCCAAGGCCTACTCTAACAATTACCTGGCTACTATCTAAATTCACTCAAGGCCCTAGGGCTCTACAATTAGCAGGTGCAAAGCTAGCCAGGTTTTTGTTCTTCCCTTCAGGGCAATGAGTTCTCCCAGGCCCCAGGTAGGTCCAGATGTGTTGTCTGGGAACCAGGGATTGAAATAAAAAACATAGAAAATTATCTTATGTTCTATTCTACTGTGGCTAAGCTGGCACTCAAACCACAAGACAGAATCTCTCCCCCTCTTCTCTCCTCTTTCCACAGGCAGAAGAGCCTCTTCCTGTGCCCACCACTACCATCAGCCTATGGGGGTTCTGCCACATCACCATCAATATTCACTTAAAGCCCAGGGACTCTTCAGCTAGCTTGTGATGAATGCTGTCAGGCCTGGGACTCACTCTTCAGGGCAGTGGGCTCCCCTCTGGCTCAGAACAGGTCCAAAAATGCTGTCCAATAGTCCAGGCCAGGAATCAAGGACCCCAAGAGCCTGCTTAGTGCTCTACATCACTTGGCTGAGGTGATACATAAGGTACAGACAGAGTCCCATTGACTTTTCCCCCTGCTTTCTCAAACAGGAGGCTTTCATCATAGTCACCACAGCTGGGAACGTGCTGGGTCACACCTGAAGCAAGCACATTTCAGAGCCCAATGCCATGGCATATTACCTGGGTATCATTGTTGGTTATTTAGGGCCCAGGTACTCTTTAGTGGGCAGATGGTAAATCCTGGCATATCTCCACCATGATAGGGCAACACTGAGTTCAATGTAAAGTCCATCAGTCACTGCTTTCTCCCTTTCCCAAGCACACAGATTTCTCAACACTATAGGACCACTGCCATTGGTAGGGGAAGGGTAGCACAAACCCTCCCTTAGCTACCCCAGCTGGTGTCTCAGTAGGTTGCATGCCTACCCCAGTCTACTGGCTCTGAATCCAACTCAGCACTAGGACTTGCCCAGGAATTTCAGTCCTTGTGGTCTATACTGCCCCTCAAGTTCACTTGGAGCCCCAGTGCACTTCAGCCATGGTGGTGATGTTTGCTGGAACTCAGGCTCTGTCCACTGGGATGGACCATTCCTTGCTAGCTAAGGCCATTCCAGATGTTCCATTTCTGGGCAGGGGTCAGCTGAGTACAGTCCAGCTCTGCTTTCTGCTATGACAAGGCATCACAGTTCAATGAATAACCTCACAATTGTTGTACTCTCCTCAGAAATGCACAGATCCTTTACACCATGTGGCCACTGCAAGGGATGGTGGCAGAATGGTGTCAGCAATTCAAGACTTTCTTTTCTGCTTTCTTCAATGTCTCTTTCAGTGATATCAAGTTAAAACTATGTACTATGATTGCTCGCCTACTTTTTGGTCCTTGTGATGGTGGTTTTTGTGTGTAGTTAGTTGATAAAATTTGGTGTCCCTATTGGGGGAACAAAGGTGTAAGCTTCTATTTGGTCATCCTACTCTGGAGGGTCTCTTTTTATTATTTATTTCTCTCCTCCTTCCTTTCTTTCACCCTTCTTCCTTTTCTTTCTTCCTCTCTCCCATTTTTTCTTCTTGTCTTTGTTTCCTTTGTTGTTGTCACTTGTCACAGCCTTTCTCTCATGGTTTTACTTTCAGATAATCTTTTAAATTCCTGGCTACTTTTTTCATTCACTATCTAGTGAACTTAATATATAGGTTGATTCAATTTCTTTCCATTATTTTTACATAAAAATAAAATACTGCTGTTGTTTCTCAATTCAAACAAATGTGATTACTGAATTTTGATTCAATTTCTTTCCATTATTTTTACATAAAAATAAAATACTGCTGTTGTTTCTCAATTCAAACAAATGTGATTATTGAATTAAAAACTGAGAAACAAATAGTGACCTAATGTTATATCTTCTTCTCATACTTTTGATTTTAAAATCCAGTTTAAGTAGAAAAACGGTATTGTCACAGAATATTACTTGCGTGCTTATAAAGGTAGAAGTCTCCAAATTAGGAAAATCTTTTGTCTTAAAAAGATTATGCACAATTTAATTAGTACTTTCACTGTCTGAATTCTTCAGGAATGACATACATTACCATGTGGAATGTTCAGGAGGAAGTGCTCTTGGGATTAACACTATGCAGGGAAGGAAGCAAGCAGTATTGAGAAGAGAGGGAAGTTGAGCCACCATGCAGTCCTAACCAAGGGCTCAGCTAAACCAATAGGAGCTCTAGACTTGTAACGAACCTTCGGATTTTCTCCCAGATAGGATGAGGGGACTATCTCTTAATAGCTTCACATTGATCGGCTATTATGAGAAATGCCTGTTGAAGAATCTGTGACCTTGAGCAAGGCAGTTCCTTTAACCAAGGCAAAACTTCAAATAGGCTGACAGCTGAGGAATATATGTGACGGTTATCCAGAAACTGGGAGGATAAATATCTCAATCATAAGGGCATATCTAGAAATAACATCACAGTGTCCACCATAAGTACTGTTGAAACTGGCCATTTTTCAGTGTGAGAATCATAGAGATACTACTTCTGGATGAAATGAATAGGCAGCTTGTACATGTAAACAAATGTAAATGCCAATTATGCAATCATATTTTAAACATCATTCATTGCCTATGAAGCCTGAAGAAAGGTATTGTTATTGGTATATCCTCAAAAAAAGTGTGTACCTTACACTGTATTTTGAAATTACTATGTACACATTACTCATAAGTATAGAAGGAAGCTAAAAAGGCTTAAGAAACCAAAAATAATCCATACTTTTATTGGAAAAATTTATTATAACTGTGTCATGCAAAACATCCTATTTTATACTGCTTAAATTGAACACTTTCAAAATGAGAATGAGAATTTTGTTCCAGAAAATGGGCAGGCAGTAGTAGAGTTAGCATTTATTGAGCACTTAATATATGCAAGGTAATCCATAGCATGTACTGTAGTTTTCTTATTTTTAATTATTATTATTGAGATGGAGTTTTGCTCTTGTTGCCCAGGCTGGAGTATAGTGGCAGGATCTCAGCTCACTGCCACCTCTGCCTCCTGGGTTCAAGCAATTCTCCTGCCTTGGCCTCTTGAGTAGCTGGGATTACAGGCACCCACCACCATGTCCAGCTAATGTCTGTATTTTTTAGTAGAGACAGGGTTTCACCATGTTGGCCAGGCTGGTCTCGAACTCCTGACCTTAGGTGATTCACCCGTCTCCCAAAGTGCTGGGATTGCAGGCGTGAGCCACCATGCCTGCCATCACTTTTAATTCTTTACAGATCCTAGAAGGTGAGAATGTATGTATGTAATTAAGAGATATATTATTAGCTTGGTGTGGTGGCTGACACCTGTAATGCCAGCTACTCTGGAGGCTGAGGCAAGAGAATTGCTTGAACCCAGGAGGTGGAGGTTGCAGTGAGCTGAGACCACACCACTGCACTCCAGCCTGGGCAACAGAGTGAGACTCCATCTCCAAAAAAAAAAAAAAAAAAAAAAAAAAGCTGGTTTATTTTTTTTCCTTCAAATATTAACATAAATAATAAATATACTGACTATACTACATGCCCTTCATCCTGACAAAAAGTCAATCATTTCTTCATTTTTTTTTCTGACTGAGGAATAAAAGCTCTTCCAGAACTGAGATGTAGCATTATATTTCCCACCAAAAATATCCCAAAACAATGTAATTATTTAAAATAATAGGAATATAGCAAATTGACATGGAGAAATTATTACTCATAGATAAAAATGGTAGAGATACAGACTAACTTTTCTACAAGGTCCTTTACATTTAAAGACCTTGTAATGTGTTTGGAGAAAGGGGAAATAAACATAGAAAGCAAAGGACATTGGAAGTGATACAAAACAATTCACAATGGAAAAAAAGTGACATTAAAATGTAGCGTGCAATAACAATAATAGGTCATAAAATAAATACTCAAGATTTCAGTGGAAAAAGAATTTAATGTGAACTCTAGTAACCTAGAGATCATTATTTAAAAGCATGAGCTTTATCTGCGACTCAAAGAATTCTGAGAATCTGGGTAGTTGGAAAAATTGGGTAAGAGAAGTGATGGAAGAAAACTGCAGAATGTGAGTATTATTTAGCCAACTACTATTAGGATTATCCCTTTTAGGAAGGGAATGCTGACTAAGTATGAAGTGTCTTGAATCTGAGGCAAACAATTCTTAAACAGAGTGAAAAAGTATACTTTCTCTCCAGACATGTATGACAAGAGAACCATGTAAGAGCAACTAACAAAATTTCCTCCTTGCATAGAAATTCATCTGAAGATACCAAGAATATCCAAATATAATACCTAAGATATATACTAATATATTTAGTGTGAGTGAATAAACAAATCTGAAAATCTAAGTATACCACAATTTTCTCTATGTATGCTTTTAGGAGCTTAGTAATTAATAAATGAGTCTTCTTTTTTCATCAAAGAAAAGAGCTATTCTGACATTAAGGAAGGAAAAAAAAGTAGGTCATTCACATTGTCAAATGGAGATATTACTTTTGTTACAGAAATCCTTTAAAGGTTGGCTTTCTCTTGTGGGGACAAAGGATAGTGGTCATTACATTAAAAAATGTCCAGTAGAGTAGAAAAATAACATACCTACTAATAGTAAAGTTTAAAAGAACTAAAAATTTTAAAAAATACCAACAAAAAATGTACTAATAGGACCACTGCTCTATAAGAAGTATAATTTTGTTGTAAATACTTCACAAAATTTTTTGAGTACTCTGTTAACTTGTGTCATTGACATAAAACAAAGAGAGTAAGAACAACTCAAAAGTCTTTATTGCTAGCATTTTTCTGTGACTGTTTTTAGTGTCAATATTGTGTGTAATTTAAAGTCAGTGTCCTGGGCTCAGGGAGGCCTAATTATTTCTTCTTCTTCCTCACTATTTCATGCTTACTTCCCTAGTCCAATCCTCCATCTCCTGCTTGGTTTACTGACACAGTGACCCAGTATATACTCTCTCCCTTCATTCTATTATATTATCCTCCCGAACGTTGTAAACAGGAGTTGGCATTTTTAAAAAAATGTAAATCGTAAAATAGTAAATATTTTAGGTTATGTGAGAAATAAGGTCTCTGTTGCAAATACTCAACTCTGCTTTTATAGGTGTGAAATCATCTGTAGGCAATATAAATAAATTGGCATGGCTGTGTTCCAATAAAACTTTATTTCAATAAAAAGGGCTATGGTTTGCCAGCCCATGTTGTGGAACATGTATTTATTAAAGTGGCTGTGGATTCACTAAGATAAAGTGGGCAATGTCTGCTTCAAGAAGTGGGAGAATGATAAGTGAATACATACCATATGATGGGAAGACTGCAGCTATTAAAGTATAATATCTTAGAGTACCATAGAAGAGATGTTATCCTTGTCTTGAAACCCTATGCACTCTTTCATTTCTCTAGGCTTTAACCACACCATTCCCTGAAAGCAAAAGGAACTTTCACTACTGAAATCTTTGTTTCATCTTCACTTATGACGTAAATATTATTGCTAACTTTGTTCTGTCATAAATATCACCCACAAATTGTCTAAGCAAGAACTTGCTAATCATAAAATTCAACTTAAATATTATTTTCTCAGTATGATTTCCCTTGACTATCCTTTTAACATGTTCTAATATATTTTACTAGAGGAATTCAAAGCACAAAATAATGATAGCTAAAATTTATTTTTTAAATGAGCTGTATAATTGATATAGAGTATTTCAATTATAAAAGAGAAAAAACAACCTGACAATCTAAGAATTATGTCTTCTTATACACATCAGTAAACAAAGGCATAGTGGTTCTGAATAGTTAATTTATTTTCCTAAATTTAGTAAAAACTTGTGTTAAATATTTGCTTGAAACTGCAGAAGCAGAATTTCTTTTCTTTATACCAGCCTACTCAATTATAGAACTTGTCAACTTTATTGCATTTATTTTTTTACACTTCTATTTGTAGCTCTGAGTTGAAAATTTCTGAAAGATAAATTTTTGTATGTCTAACGCTTTATATAGTTCATGAAACTTACTGTTCTAAAAAGGTTTAAGAAATAAATTTTAAAAAATAAATTTATAAAGTTGTCAGATGTGCTCAGATTCATTATCAATCTTTCCTGCCTAGTATATAACCATTTATCTATCCCTATGGACCATTATACATATATGAGAAAAGAGGCAATGAAAGATTTACTTCCCAATTCAAGAAGCATGCTAGATATTTATCAAAGTGATCTGCAGACAAACTACATCCCCTGAAGATATAATCAATTAAACTATACTGGGCTGAGGGAAGGGTTCAATTTTATATTGTTGGAACCATGTAATATAATGTCAACAATAAGGCATATGGATACATTATGAGATGAACAGACTCCAGAATGCCATCACTAACACTTTATAAACTTTGAGTTTCTGCTTTTAACACCAGATCACATAGGTAAGTTTGGATTGATAGACTAGATTTTTCTCGGTCTCACCATTGCTTCCGGCTACAGTTGCTGGTATCAAGGAAATATATATATATATATATATATATATAAAATATGTATACATAATAGATCATATATTATATGTATATATAATAGATCATATATTATATGTATACATAATATATGTATAATATGTATTATATTATATATGTATACATAATATATGTCATACATATCATTTTATATACATATCATTTTATATTTCAAATTTATATCTTTCCTTGATACGAGCAGCAGTGGCCAGAAGCGATGATGAGACCAAGAAAAATCTAGTGTGTGTGTGTGTATATATATATATATAAAAAATATATTATATATATACTAGATTATATATTATGTATAATATATATTACAATATATAATGTATTATATATAATATGTAACTATATATTTAATATTTAACTGTAAATTGCCCTTTTTAAGGTATTTTTGTTAGCCTGAGCAGACTAAGACAGTTTGATGAAATATATTATTTATAATGCCTTTATTATTAAGCAATGACATTTTTTAAAAATTGATCACATATTTTTAAAAAAATTGATATCACATATTTCAGATATATAAAATATTTTATTTTAGGAATAAATCCTACTGTGATTATAGATTTTTTATCTCTTATATTTATGGCTACCAAAATTTTAAATAATTCATTTTTATTAAGTAGTTTATACTTTAAATATCTTATATTACAGCAATGCTATTCTGACAGTAACTACTTGGAGTTAGGTCAAACTTCACTAGTTTAGGGCACAATCTCCCACAAGACTGCCCTTAGATAAGACAGTTGCTGCAAGCTTAGAAGTTCCTAGGCCACACACATTTCTGACCAAATGGCTGCAATTTCAGGAGTTGCCATGACCCTCTCAGCTTCCATAATTTACTAGAATGAGTCATAAATTTTCGAAAAGCATGATACTTACAATTACAGTTTTGTTATGAAGCAGGCAAATCAAGACTAGCCAAAAGAAAAACCCATAGGGAAAGGTCTGGGAGGGTCTTAAAGGCCACATTTTCATGTCCTCTCTGAGTGGAGTCAGAACACATCACCCTCCTGGCGTTTCAGTGCATGTCAGCAACCAGGCAGTACACTCAAGTATTAATTGTTTTATTATATAGATGGATTGTTCAATTCATTGGCCACATGATTGAACACAATCTCTATCCCTTATTTCCTCTCAGTAGGTTGAGCTGATACCATAAGACTCAAAACTCCCTATCTCTAATCACATGTTTGGTCTTTTTCATATAGCCTGTCCCCATTCTAAAACTATATCCAGGCCCATCAGAGTCCCCTCATTAGCATGAACTCAGGTGTGATCCTAGAAGCCCATAATAAATAGCAAAGACACTAATAAACCTGGGGAATGTCAAAGATTTAGAGATTCCATCCCAGAAATGGAGAAAAAAGTCCAAATTTTTTATTATCTAAGAATTACACTAAGATTTCACTTTAATTTTTAAAAGAAAACCATTGAAATACAATACTATACTCAGAACAAGTCAAGAGATCTTAAGTATAATCTCAATTTCAATCAGGCTAAATGCAAGTTCAATGGGTGTTTTAGAATAGCCTGTTATAGCTATCACATTAATGGGTAGATAGCACAATAATTCGTATGAACGTCAATAACTTCTAACTTTGGAAATATTTATGTTTCTGGTCTAATTGAGCATGGTCAAAAGAGTAAATCAATCTGATTTAATGCAACCCATTTTTATAACCCTCTGACAATGAGGGAACAACAAATACCAGTCTCATTTTTCACAGAACCGTTTTGGGAAGAAGATAAACTTTTAGATTGTATAATCCTTGTCAAGTCCTAAAATGTAATCATCCACATATTATTTGGGAAAAATTTAAAACTCATCTTCTTGCCCTCAAATTTGTCAACATAATTTAAACAGGGGCAAATTACTTAACTTCCAATTTGATTTTTTTAATCTAAAATTAGACAAAGGAGATACTGGTTTATCTAATCAAAAAAAAGTACCCTGTTAATTATTACTAAATTTTTAAGCATGAAATCTATAAATATTTTTGAATGTTTTTATGTTGTAATGAAATATCGAGAATATAAAGTTTTGTGACATAGTGTTTCGGACACTTTTACCTTCTCCCTGCTTCTGCAAACCTTAGAGCCTATGACAAAAATTACTTAATAGTTTTAATTAATGGCTATAATGGAGAAAAACAACAAATTTTACATTACAATATTTCACATACTGTTTTGCCTAAAAATTGGCAAAATCATGTTTCTTTCATTAATTTAAAATCATTTTATTATTTTGAGAATACTTCAAATCCTAATAAACATAACTTAGAAAATAAAAAATGGTGCATTTGTTTTAAATATTTAATATATTACTATCATCTGCACAAAAATATTAGAATTATCAAAATTGCAAATTGAAGGTAATTTTTAAGTAGTTATTTTTAGCAAGGCTAAATAGCAGTAGGTGGCAGATTAAAAATAATTTATTTCACTTTTGATGGTCATGCCTATCTTTCAGAATGTCAATCTTGCAATTTGAAAATGTATATGAAAAAATATATATTTCTTTTTGTTTTTTCCACGTAGCTTATCTGTTCATTATATATTGACAGTAATAACATTGTTTTAATTGCTACATTTCTCCTCAGGTAACAAATAAATCTAACCCAAAAAATAGCAATGACATATGGAGGACAATTTAGTGGAAATGATTTCACATTTTTATTCATTCATGTTAGAGGTTCTATGTTGCTCTGGCCTCCATGGCATGAATCTTTCATTTGGGAACTACCCAGCAGGTCCATATTGCTGAGATGACTGACAGTCACAGTTTGCTACAGTCATCACAGAGGGATGGGCAAGTGAGCCAGCCTGGCCAAAAAGAGTGCACTGTCTCTCGATGGGGGCAATTTCTATAAAGAAAAGAAGTAAGAAACATGATTCCAACTTCTCCCCACCCGCCCTGGTACCTGAAAAACAGATACTATCTATTCTGTTTTTTGAGGTTAACAATGTAATGTGGGTCTAGGAACAGTCGTGTCTCTCATCACTTTGGAAGAATGTATTTGCAGAAGAGTATGAAGCCGGTATGCAAAGAGAAAAGACAGACTGAAATAAGATACAGAGAAATAAAATCAAGAACTCTGATGGTATTTCTGAGTACTTGCATACAGCTTGTTTGAAGATAGTTCAACAAATAAATTTCAGTTACATCAACTAAAAAATTGTTTTATTCATAAGAGATGTCTTGGTTGTCTGTTCATAATAAGCACTAGAGTTATGAATAACTTACCGCTGTGGAAGTACCATAAACACCTAGAGACACCATACTTTTTAATAAGCACTAGTGCAAGTTTCTTTGGGGCTTGAGAAATGTTTCATGGGCCTAAACTGATGCCAACTATCGGAAATTTACCTCACTATACTCTGAACATCAGATAAAATATTTGTTTAATGATATGTTCATGTGAGAGGGAGGAATTGTATCATTGGAGTGCAATAGGCATAAAGATATCTTATATTCTCTACAGAAAAAAATATAAGAAATTAAATAGTGTAACTCACTTTTTATTACATAAAATTAGGTATTTCTCAAAGGCCTGTTAAAACCCAAATATAATATCATTGAGGGTAATTTTTAAATCATGCTTTGTATTTATACATCATTATTCATTCTAGTTTTCTGCATACTTATGGTAATTTTAGTGTACTATATTTGTCATAAAAATTATTCTTTTTAGTAACAGTTGAATAATTAGCGTTACTTAGCATAGAGCTATATGAGAAGGTTATTTATTTTTGTAAATAACAGAACCATAAAAATATAGTTTTGATGTAAAGTTAGAAAAAAAAGAAAATTATAGAATCAGGTAATCTTTGAGACTATAAATTAAAACATTGAACTTTTGGTTTCTATCCACTGTGTAAAGAGCTTGGAAGTCATCACTCACCCTCACAATAAATAAAACACTGAACAAACAGAAAATAAACAACCCATTTTAAATTTGTCAGAGTAATGAGATTAGAGAGCAAATCTAAGGCCTCCAAATTTTAGAGACCGCAGGCAGATACACAGAATTACAGCTTACTTGAGCAGAAGCACAGGAACAGAAAGGACTGCTGGAAATAGTACTATGGTAGGAAAACTCCAATAAGTTTGATAGTTTAACATGCCAGGGTGTCCAGTCTTAGAGTGATGTCCACACTTCATGAGTTTTACTGTTAGGAGCTCTGCCAGGTTCATAATAAAGATTGAAGAAAAATCCCTGCATGCTTTTAGCAGTGTAGGGAAAATGTAACTATTTTGAAATATACCAAGACTATTCTGTTCTCCTTAACAAGGCTTGCCTTCAATAGAAACTATTTTACCAGAGCCTAACTGAGCCAAGTGAAATTACATACTTGATTTAAAATATAGTGTATTAATAGAAAACCTGATGTATAATAAGACTAGCAGATCATGAGATGACTGCCGTTGAAAAGATAGTTTGTCACTCACAGTTCCGAAGAAGAAGGGGCATGCTACATCCCAGGGGTCCATGCAGGGAAGCATGGGGTCAGTCAAGAGGCTGGAGGGAGAGAGTGAGAAGGAAGGAACTGCGTGCAAAAGCCTTTGTGTGGTTTCCTTGGGAAGTGATATGGTATAGCTCTGTGTCCCCACTCAAATCTCACCTTGAATTGTAATAATCCTCAGGTGTCATGGGAGAGAACCAGTGAAAGGTAGCTGAATCATGGGGGCGGGTTTTTCCCGTGCTGTTCTTTTGATAGTGAATAAGTCTCATGAGATCAGATAGTTGTATAAAGGGGAGTTCCCCTGCACATTCTCTCTTGCCTGCTGCCATGTAAGATGTGACTTTTCTTCCCCTTTGCTTTCTGCCATAATTGGGAGACCTCCCCAGCCATGTAGAACTGTTAGAACTGTGAGTCAATTAAACCTCTTTCCTTTATAAATTACCCAGTCCTGGGTATGTCTTTAATGGTAGTGTGAGAACAAACTAATAAGGTAATTTGGTACCAGTAGAGTGGGGTGCTGCTGTAAAGATACCCGAAAATGTAGAAGTGACTTTGAAACTGGGTAATAGGCAGAGGTTGAAACAGTTTGGACAGCTCAGAAGAAGACAGGAAAATGTGGGAAAATTTGGAACTTCCTAGAGCTTTGTTAAATGGTTTTGACCAAAATGCTAATACTAATTAGCATTATTAATAATAATTATTATTATTAATAATAACAATAATTGTCCATATCATATGGACAATGAAGTCCAGGCTGAGAGGGTCTCAGAGGAAGATGAGGACCTTGTGGGAACCTGGAGCTGAGGTGATCTTGCTATGTTTTAGCAAAGAGATTGGTGGTATTTTGCCTCTGTCCTAGGGATTTATGGAACTTTGAACTTGAGAGAGAATGATTTAGGGAGTCTGGCAGAAGAAATTTCTAAGCACTGAAGGGTTCAAGAGGAAGCAGAGCACAAAAGTTTAAAAAATTTGCAGCCTGACAATGCAGTAAAAAGGAAAAGCCCATTTTCTGGGGAGATATTCAAGCCCACTGCCTAAATTTGCATAACTAACAAGGAGCCAAATGCTAATCTCCCAGACAATGGGGAAAATGTCTCTGGGGCATGTCAGACACCTTCACAGTAGCCCCTCCCATTACAGGCCCTGAGGCTGAGCAGGAAAACATGGTTTCCTGGCCCTGAATCCCAGCTGCTCCAAACTTGGCTAAAGGGGCCAAAGTACAGCTCAGGCCATGGCTTCAGAGGGTGTAAGCCCCAAGCCTTGGCAGTTTGCACATGGTGTTGAGCCTACAGGTGCATATAATCCAAGAATTGAGGTTTGGGAACCTCCACCGAGATTTCAGAGGATGTATGGAAATGCCTGAATGTCCACGCAAAAGTTTGCTGCAGAGGCATGGCCCTCATGGGGAAACTCTCCTAGAGCAGTGCAAAAGGGAAATGTGAGGTGTGAGCCCTCACACAGAGTCCTCACTGGGGCATCGCCTAGTGGAGCTGTGAGAAGAGGGTTACCTTCCTCCAGCCCCCAGAATGGTAGATACACTGACAGCTTATACCATGTGCCTGGAAAAGCTCCAGACACTCAATGCCAGCCCATGAAGGCAGCTGGGAGAGAGGCTGTACCTTGAAAAACCACAGGGATAGAGCTGCCCAAACCATTGGAATTTACCTCTTGCATCAGCATGACCTGGATGTGAGACATGGAGTCAAAGAAGATCATTTTGGAGCTTTAAGATCTGACTGTCTCACTAGATTTTGGACTTGTAAGGGGACTGTAGCCCCTTTGTTTTGGCCAATTTCTCCCATTTGGAATGGGTGTATTTACCCAATGCCTGCATGTCCATTGTATCTAGGAAGTAACTAACTTGCTTCTGACTTTATAGGCTCATAGGCAGAAGGGACTTGCCTTGTCTCAGATGAGATTTTGAACTGTGGACGTTTGAGTTAATGCTGAAATGAGTTAAGACTTTAGGAGACTGTTGTGAAGGCACCATTGGTTTTGAAATGTGAGGACATGAAATTTGGGAGGGGCCAGGGGTGGAATGATATGGTTTGGCTGTGTCTCCACCCAAATGTCACCCAGTATTATAATAATCCCTGGCTGTCAAAGGCAGGGCCAGGTGGAGATAATTGAATTATTGGCATGGTTTTTCCCCTACTGTTCTCATGGTAGTGAATAAGTCTCAGATGACGTGATAGTTTTATCAATGGGAGATCCCCTTCACAAGCTCTCTCTTGCCAGCTGCCTTGTAAGATGTGTCTTGCTTCCCCTTCATTTACAACCGTGATTGTGAGGCATCCCCAGCCATGTGAAACTGTGAGTCAACTAAACCTCTTTCATCTATAAATTATCCAGTCTCAAGTATGTCTTTATTTGCAGCAAGAGAAAAAACTAATACACTTGCCTTGTCTCAGATGAGACTTTGGACTACGGACTTTTGAGTTAATGCTGAAATCAGTTAAGACTTTGGGGGACTGTTGGGAAGGCATAATTGGTTTTGAAATGTGAGGACATGACATGGGATTTGGAAGGGGCCAGGAGTGAATTATACAGTTTGGCTCTGTGTCCCCACCCAAGTCTCACCTTGAATTGTAATAATCTCCATGTGTTGTGAGAGGGACCCGGTGGAAGGTAATTGAATAACGGGGGTGGGTTTTTCCCATGCTGTTCTTGCGAAAGTGAGTAAGTCTCACCAGATATGATGGTTTTATAAAGGGGAGTTCCTCTGCACATGCTCTCTTGCCTGCTGCCATGTAAGATGTGTCTTGCTTTCCCTTCACTTTCTGCCATGATGTGAAGCCTCCCCAGCCATTTGGAACTGTGAGTTAATTAAACTTCTTTCCTTTATAAATTACCCAGTCCTGGGTATGTCTTTATTAGCAGCGTAAGAACAAACAAATGCAGGAAGGAACAGGCAAGTTCTGGTCAGCAGTCTTGGTGTTGGTGACTTTGAATAATACCAGCAGGTTCCAGGGCATAAGGTCTCACTCTCTTTTTTTCTGGTACCTGGTCCTGGGGCAATTAGGGCAGATGGATCATGGCCTGGAATGTGAGAGCTCCACTAGGAAGGGGTTGGGGTGTGGGCTCCAGATTAATTGGTTTGTATTGAAAAGCATGCTCATGGGTCAGTTGTTTAATATCTCAAGAAATTGGCAAACCCTATGAGGGGCAAACTTTAGGGTTAACAAGGCCCCAAATGTCAAAGCATCAGAATATGGAAAATAAAATTCATGGTTAATATAATACTCAACTCAAGGTCCCTCTAACCTCATAATAGCAAAAAGAAAGACACAGCTCAAATGGCCATCACCTGAAAAGTGAATAAACAAAATATGACATACAGAATATTATTTGGCAATAAAATAATAAAGTAATGATCAATGCCACATCATAGATGAGCTTTGAAAACATTTCACTAAGTGAAAGAAGTGAGTCACGTGTATTTAAATACTAATAATGGTTGTACAACTCTATGAATATACTAAAATAGAATGCATTAAAAATAACTGTAAGTGGATGACATTAGGGTAAGCAGAGTGTATTTCATAAAATTTTTAAATGTAATACACAAACACTAAGCTGATATTGCAAGAAGAGTAAAATCATCAATAGCTACCCTATATTCCGGTAATAATTACATGGTAGTAGAAGTAGTGTTGCATTCACAATAACTTCAAAAAATATAAAATGCCCTGGGACATTAACACCGTAAGAAAATTATGAAACTAATTAAGAGCCGTAAAAGCAGTAATTTTTAAAATGGAGAGAAAGTCCATTATTATGGACATTAAGTAGTCAATTTTATAATGAAACCAATTTTCTTAAAATAATGTATAAATCTAATTGTATCAGAACAGAGTATTGATGAGTTTTGAGGGTTGGGGTTGGAGCTTCAAAATTCTAAATATTACATGATTTAATATAAATTTAATATTAGAGCTTTTAAAACATCAAAATTGTGTTTTGGAATCAGAATAGATAATGAGATTCTAAATTTCAAAACAAAATCATCATATGAAAATTATTTATAATATTAATAGTGTCACCATTATATTTAGTAGAAAATCAAAATTATTAGATAAATGACCTTGAGAAACCTACTAATATTTTGGAAAATAGTAAAGTCAGTGGTGAGGAGCCAAGATGGCTGATGTGTACTTCCCACTGAGAAGATTGAAAACGGTGAGTGAATCCTGCTCCATCATCCCAGGTATACAGGTTCTCTCACTTGGACTGACAAGGCAGTGGGTGCAACACATGTAGAGTGAGGAAAAGCAGGGTAGAGAAATAACCTGGGAGCCTCATGGGATAAGGGGAGCTCCCACACCCAGCCAAGGGAGGCGGTGAGTGACTGCTACCCTGCCAGGAAACTATGTCTTTTTCATGGATCTGTGCATCCTGCAGATCAGGAGACCTCCTCATGTGACCACCTCACCAGGGTCTTGAGTCTGAAGCAGAGCTGTGCTACCTGCTTGCATTGTGGCCAGCAGCAGCAAGCTGGACACTGCCTAAGACGACAGAGTTCCTGAGGGTAGGAGTGGCTGCCATCACTGTGACTCCAGTCAGCTGTTTTCCATGGCTGGTGGGAGGAGACTGGGCAGTTTGGATCCAGAGGAATTTCCCACAGCGCAGCACAGTGGCTGTGGCAGATCATGGCCAGACTGCTTCTTTAGGTGGGACCCAGATCCATCCCTCCTCACTGGGTGAAGACTCCCTGCAGGAACTGTAGCAACTCCAGCAAGAGGTTTTCAGACAGAACTCTGATATCCATGTGAAGGAGCCCCTGGGGGAGGGGTAGCCATGGTTTTGTGTTCAGTGGACCTAGTCTTTCTTGCCTGCTGGCAGTCCAGATCAGTATATTCTCCCCAGTGTAGCCAAACCTCCTCAGCCAAGGGGCAACCAGACTGCTTCTTTAAGCAGGTCCCTTATCCCATGCCACCTGACAGGGTGAGACATCCAACCAGACATCTCACACAGGAGCATCCCAGCCAGCATCAGCTCACTGCCCTTCTGGGATGGAGCTCCCAGAGGAAGGAGCAGACAGCTGTCTTTGCTGTTCTGAAGCCTCCAATGGTGATACTTCCAGGTGCAGGAGGGACCCAGGTAAATTGGGTCTGGAGTGGTCCCCCAGTAGACCACAGCAGCCCTACAGAAGAGGGGCTTGACTGTTAAACACAAACAAACAAACAAACAAACAGAAAGCAACAACAACATCAACTGAAAACACCCTACAGATACCTTATCCAAAGGTCAGCAGCCTCAAAGATCAAAATTAGGAAAACCCATGAAGATGAGAAAGAATTAGTGAAAAAACATTCAAAACTCAAAAAGCTAGAGTGTCTCTTCTCCTCCAAATGATCACAACACCTCTCCAGCAAAGGCATAGAACTGGGCTGAGGCTGAGATGGATGACTCAACAGAAGTAGACTTCAGAAGGTGGATAAAAACAAACTTAGCTGAGCTAAAGGACCATGGTCTGAGCCAATGAGAAGAAGCTAAGAACCATAATAAAACATTACAGAAGCTGTTAACCAGAATAACCAGTTTACAGGGGAAGATAAATGACCTGGCGGAGCTAAAAAACACAGCATGAGAAATGTACCATGCAAACACAAACATCAATAGACAATAGACCAAGCAGAGAAAAAAATCTCAGAGCTTGAAAACTATCTTGCTGAAATAAGACAGGCAGACAAGGTTAGAGAAAAATAAAATAAAATTACAAAAGAATGAACAAAACCTCCAAGAACTATGAGATTATAAAGACTGAACTTCGAACCAACTGGGGTAACTGAAAAAGATGGGAGAATAGAACAAAGTTGAAAAACATACTTCAAGATATTATTTAGCAGAATTTCCCCAACCCAGCAAGACAGGTCAACATTCAAATTCAGGAAATCCAGAGACACTCCATGAGAAGATCCACCCCACGACACATAATCATCAAATTCTGCAAAGTCAAAATGAAGGAACTACTGTTAAGGATGGCCAAAGAAAAAGGCCAGGTCACCTACAAAGGAAAGCCCATCAGACTAACAGTGGACCTCTAAAAGAAACCCTACAAGCCAGAAGACATTGGGGGCCAGTATTCAACATTCTTAAAGCAAAAAATTTCTAGCCCAGAATTTCATATTTGGCCAAACTAAGCTTCATAAGCAAATAAGAAATAAAATCCTTTTCCAACAAGCAAATGCTCAGGGAATTTGTCACCATCAGGCCTGCTTCCTGAAGGAAACACTAAATATGGAAAGCAAAAACCATTACCAGCTACAATTACTATAAAAAACCATTACTATCAAAAACACATTGAAGTATACAGACCAAGGACACCAAGAAGCAACTACATTAACAATTGCAAAATAACCAGCCAGCATCATGATGACTGGATCAAATTCACACATAATAATATTAACCTTAATGTAAATGGGCTAAATGTCCCAATCAAAAGACACAGAATGGCAAGTTGGATAAAAAGACAAGACTTATTGGTGTGCTGTATTCAAGAGACACATCTCATGTGCAAAGACACATATAGGCTCAAAACAAAGGGATGGAGGAAAATTTACCATGGAAATGGAAAGCAGGAAAAAGCCAGGGTTGCAATCCTAGTTTTTGACAAAACAGATTTTAAACCAACAAAGATCAAAAAGACAAAGAAGGCATTACCTAATGGTAAAGTGTTCAATTCAACAAAAGCTAACTATCCTAATTATATTATATATGCACCCAGTTTCATAAAACAAGCTCTTAGAGACTTACTAAGAGACTTAGACTCCCACACAATAATAGTGGGAGACTTTAACCCCCCACTGTCAATATTAGACAGATCATTGAAACAAAATATTAACAATGATTTTAAGGACTTGAACTCAACTCCGGGTCAAATAGACCTGATAAATATCTACAGAACTCTCCACCCTAAAACAGCAGAATATACACTGTTCTCAGTGCCACATGGTACTTACTCTAAAATTGATCACATAATTGGAAGTAAAACACTCCTCAGCAAATGCAAAAGAACTGAAATTATAACAGTCCCTCAGACCACAGCACTATCAAATAAGAACTCAAGGTTAAGAAACTCATTCAAAACCACACAACTTCATAATAACTGAACAAGTTGCTCCTGAATGACTCCTGGGTAAATAATTAAATTAAGGCAGAAGTCAAGAAGTTATTTGAAACCAATAAAACCAAACAAACAATGTACCAGAATTTCTGGGACACAGCTAAAGCAGTGTTAAGAGGGAAATTTATAGCACTAAGTGCCCACATCAAAACGTTAGAAAGATCTCAAATCAGCATTTTAATATCACAACTGAAAGAACTTATAACCAAGAGCAAACAAACCCCAAAGCTAGCAGATGACAATAAATAACCACGATTGGAGCAGAACTGAAGGAGACAGAGACATGAAAAACCCTTCAAAAAAAATCAATGAATCCAGGAGCTGATTTTTTGAAAGAATTAATAAAATAGATGGACCACTAGTGAGACTAATGAAGAAAAGAGAGGATAAAATAGACACAATGAAAAATGATAAAGGGGGTATCACCATTGACCCCACAGAAATACAAAAAACAATCAGAGAATACTATAAACATCACTATGCAAATAAACAAGAAAATCTAGACGAAATTAATACATTTCTGGACACATACACTCTGCTAAGACTGAACCAGGAAGAAGTTGAATCCCTGATAGACCAATAACGAGTTCTGAAACTGAGACAGTCATAAATACCCTACCAACCAAAAAAAGCCCAAGACAGATGGATTCACAGATGAATCCTACCAGAGGTACAAAGACGATTTGGTATCATTTCTTCTGAAGCTATTTCAAACCATAGAAAAGGAGGGACTCCTTCCTAACTCATTTTGTAAGGTCAGCATCATCCTGATATCAAAACCTGGCAGAAATATAACAATAAAAAAAAAAAACTTCAGTTCAATATCCCCAATAAACATTGATGCAAAAATCCTAAAGAAAATACTAATAAACCGAATCCAGCAGCACATCAAAAAGTTTATCTACCATGATCAAGTCGGCTTCATCACTGGGATGCAAGGCTGTTTCAACATATGCAGATCAATAAATATAATTCATCAAATAAACAGAACTAAAGACAAAAACCACGATTATCTCAATAGATGCAGAAAAGACCTTCAATAAACATCAACATTCCTTCATGTTAAAAACTCTCAGTAAACTAGGTATTGAAGGAACATATACAATATATAATATGCTCAGCATCACTAATCATCAGAAAAGTACAGGTCAAAATCACGATGACATATTACCTCACATTTCTTATAATGACCATTATTTAAAAAAAAAGGTAAGTATTGGCAAAGATGTGGGGAAATTTGAAACATTATATATTGTTCCTTGGAATGTAGAATGAAATAGCCACCATGGAAAATAGTATGGAGGTCCCTTAAATAAATTAAGGATCTGTATAATATATCTGCATTTCCATGTTTATTACAGCTGTATTCACAATAGCCAAGATTTGGTAACAACCCAAATGTCTATCAACAGACTAATAGACAAAGAAAATGTGCTATAGACATAGAATGGGATATTATTCAACCTTAATAAAAATAAATTCTGGGCTGGGCATGGTGGCTCACAGCTGTAACTCCAGAACTTTGGGAGGCCCAGGTGGGCAGATCACCTGAGGTCAGGAGTTTGAGACCAGCCTGGCCAATATGGTGAAGCCCTGTGTCTACTAAAAATACAAAAATTAGCCGGATGTTGTGGCGGGCACCTGTAATCTCAGCTACTCAGGAGGCTGAGGCAGGAGAATTGCTTGAACCCGGGAGGCAGACGTTGCAGTGAGCCGAGATCGCGCCATTGCACTCCAGCCTGGGCAACAAGAGCAAAACTCTGCCTCTAAATAAATAAATATTAAAAATAAATAAATAAAAAGAAATTCTGCCATTTGTGACAACATGAATGAACCTCCGGGACATTATGCTTAGTGAAGTAAAGCAGTCACAGAACAAATACTACATGATTCTACTTATATGAGGCATCGAAAATTGTTAAACTATAGAAGCAGAAAATAAAATGATGGTTGCTAGAGGCTAGGGGTATGGATAAATGGGGAAATTGTTGCTTAATGAGTATAAGATTTTTGTTATGCAAGACGTATGCGTTCTAGAGATCTGCTACACAAAATAGTGCCTAAAGTTAACAATATGGGATTTCTGGGTCAAATGGTATTTCTGGTTCTAGATCCTTGAGGAATCACCACACTGTCTTCCACATTGATTGAACTAATTTACACTCCCAACAACAGTGTAAAAGTGTTCCTATTTCTCCACATCCTCTTCAGCATCTGTTGTTTCCTGACTTTTTAATGATCACCATTCTAACTGGCATGAGATGGTATCTCATTGTGGTTTTGATTTACATTTCTCTAACGACCAGTGATGATGATCTTTTTTCATATGTTTTTTGGCTGCATAAATGTCTTCTTTTATATTATGTAAATAATAACTGAGGCAACCTGGAACCAATAGAAATGATAATACTTCTAAAAGAGCTCTCTCTTTTACATATATTATATGAAAAAATATTTACGAAAAAGTAATCATATGATTTGATTATATTGCTGGAACCCCTGAATCTCACTGACAAAAGCCAGGACTGTCTCCGGATATTTTATTTGCATTTTAGACTATGCTCCTCTTTCTTTAATGTTTTTTGAGTTATCTCATTTGAAATCAAATTTCATAAATATGAAGAACATTCTAGCACTCTACCTCTCTCTCCTCATGTGTTTATATATGCGTGTATATAAGTATATAATTATCACAACTAATGCCAGAATGACTATATGCAACTATATAGTTTTGCCTATATGCAAGTATTTTTCTGCAATAAAATATACCTACAAATTGCTTATTTTAGTCAAATTTAAGAATTTACAGTTAGAATTTTTGTATGTGTAATCACATTTTTTATACTTTATTTTTTCTTTTAATTTAAACTTCTACCAAATAAATTAAAAAATTTCTTATTTAACATGGAATATTACCAATATTTTATTTTTTCCCTAATCTGATGAATGAATAATGATATATTGGCAAATATTAGCATGGCTTATATTGGGTATATTTATACCAGCCATTTGTGTTTTTGATGTGCTATTTACCTGTCAAAAATTTTAATATTTTTAGAAAAATGTTTTGTATTACTAATTTTTTCTAAAATTTTAAAAAACTTACATTACAATTAATCTTCATCTGTTATACACACTGCAGAAAATGTTCCCTTCTATTACAACTTGTCTTAGTTCATGATGTCTTCTGTTATAAATAACTGTTTTGTTTAACGTCAAGTTTTATTACATCTGATTTTGTGTCTAATTTAGGAACGCAAGAAAGCCATTTTAAACATAACACCAAAGCAATTATCACAGAAAAATTAGTTGATAATTTAAGGATGTAAAAATTAATGAGCTGTTGAACAGAGAATCTGAATTAAAAATAAAAGAACAAGCAAGAAAAATAGGAAACATTCGTACTATATGTGATAAAGAGAGGATTATGTTCATCATTTATAAAATTCTTACAAATCATTATGAAAATATTAACTCAACAATAAAATCTGACCCAAAGTTTAACAGATAACATAAAATATTTTAAGGGTGTATGTGCATATATATATATAAAGATATATAGAGAGAGTATATATGAAAGTCTCGTTGAGGAAGTTATGAAGAAACAGATAATCCAACACACTGCAAGCAGAAACCTTGTAAAAATTTCTGGATAAAGTTAACAAATATGCATACAGTTATGTAAAATATGCATAACATTACCAATTATTTACCCATATGAATAATTTAATAATGCTATGCCATACTTTTATGATGGTATTAATTATAACATTGTTTATGGAAGCAGAAAATTTTAAGACAACCATGATAGATTAAATATATTTATATCTGTAAAACAAAAACATGCCACTGATCCATTTGCTTTGACGTGTAAAAATGGGCAAAGCAAATTTTACATAAGAAATAGTTATACAAGACAAATTAATCCTCTTTTAAGTGTATAGATATAAAATATACTTTTATACAAAAAGATATATCTATGCAGATTAAGAATAATTAGAAAAATTTACTAGATACATGTTAGATGCTAACACAAATATCTGTGGCTGGTGACATAAACACAGATTTTTACATTTTTATCTTTAGCTATTTTTGAGATTTTTTTTTAACAATTAAGAGGTTTATGTCTAATAATAAAGCAATTACAAAATTATTTACATTTTGAAGATATATCTATCATGAGAGAAGCTGTGGCTGATTCTAATAAAAGCAACAAAAAGAGAAAGTCCTGAGACAATAACTATCAACTGAGGATTTAATAATTATCAAAATATTTAAATTAAAGAATAATTGATCTCCATTCTTCATTTCAGAAGACTATTTTCTTTTAGTGCCATTCTCTTTTTCTCATTATATCTTAGTATGTTAGTTGCTTTGTCAATTTTTGTGATTGTCACTGCCATCTACTATTCTTGCTTCTTTTTTTCTCAGCTATTTCTTAGCATTTCATATCAGTCTCTGCCACTCAATTCTAAACTGCATTTTAAAAGTTGTTATTAGAATAATTGTTTGTTATTAATTTTAAAGGCATTACTTGATTTTTGTCTTTACTTCTCATGCCTTCTTATTTTTATTCAAAATTATATTTAGTGAAGGAATCTAGAAAAGCATCTAAACATTTCTTAATTTTGTTAGAAATCAAAAGCATGTATTTGCAGGTGGATGCTTCCATGGATCTCTAGGCACAAATATAACCAGTCAATTTTGACAAAACTGGTTTATTTTGCACTTAAATTTCAGGACTGAATTATTAAACTGATAATTTCCATAGCATTCTATTTAGGAAATTTCTAAAAAATTCATCATAGCTTTACCTCTGTTTCCTAATCTATGTCCTGCTGAAGAGCTATTGTTTATAGTATAAATGGATATTTTAACATATGTCTTAATAAAATATTGTTCAACATGCTGATTTAAACAAATGTAAATCTACATATTGCAGGGATTCTTAAACTTTCACAAATTTTAATTGGTACTAAATTATCTAAGGCAATTATTTATGGTTCTAAAATTTACTCGATCAGGAATCTTTTCATCACTCATTGAAAAAATTCTCTTATATTTCATGAAATAAAATATTGCTAGCTAAACAATTTTTAATTTGTACATGACCTCTTCTTAAAAAGGTGCCTTACATTCTGAGAGAGTTAAGGATTAATCTAAATTTGCATTCTCACTCTTTTTCTCGATATATACATTAATGAAAATGAATACTAATTGACAAACTAAATTTTACATAATTGTCATTTAACTCAAATCTAAACCAAGAGTTTGGAGACATAAAACCAAAGCTACAAAACCCACATCTATCTTGTTTTATTTGATAACGAATCATTACTCTATTAATAAAACATCTCTATTTCGTAGGTGAAAAAACTAGGAAGCAAAATTTAAGCTCTAGAAAATATCTAATATATGATTATAAAGAGGAGACAGTTAGACATCTGCCCTGAATCAATTGTTAAGATCTGTATACAATACCAAAGCGAAGTTTATTAGTCTACTTAAGTATATATTGATAAAGTTTGCCTTAAAACTTTGGGAATTTTTTTAAAAAGCTAAAAACAAATTAAAATCAATTTTGTAAAATTTGTCAAGCTTGAGTCTTTATTAGAATTACTAATTATCTGTATCATTTGATTGAGAAGACATATGATTCTGAGCACAGCAAGGGGTATGTAAAACCATTAACTGTCTCTCCCTCTAGATATAGCAAGTGATGTGTAGACATAAACTCAGCAGGGACCATCTTTATAACCATGCCCTGAGGGGAAGTGGAACATGCTTGAGTGGAATACTGTTAAATGAGCCTAATGTGACCCTCCTTTCTCTCTTCTACCATGTACTTATTCTCTGTAGGCCTTTATTGTTAAAATGTTGCATCACTTCCATTCCATTCAGTCAACACATAATATTGCACATTCCTTAAAAAAATACCCACAAAACTAATCTAATAAAAGTAAGCACTTAATCATGCAGAATGTCAATTATGCAAAACTCAGTAACTGTTTGGATTTTATAAAGAGCTTTGATATTGTGAAGTCATTTTGCTGCACAAACCGTGATTTACCAGGACCACAGGTTTGGCCTATCCTAGACAGAGATGAGACTGACTCTTTGCCTTCTCTCATAAACATGCCCTATGTCAATTACTTCAGAGATAGGAAGAAAGTTAAATTGGCCCTCAACCCTGATAGTTCTTGTTAGCATATCATGAAAAGTATCCCAGACTACCAGTGGAAGACTTTAATCCTAAGCAATTAATGCTCTTTCATGCAAAAATATAGGTCCTGTTCTCACTTTGTAGCTCTATTGTTAGAATCAGAGCTCAAAAGGGAATTTTGAGTTCCAGTTGGATTCTCAAAAGAGAATTTTGATTAGAAAAAAGAAATCTTCCAAGTATATCATAACTTTAGGTAAAATTTTTAGTTCTGTTGACAGATCCTGTAGAAAAAAAAAACAAGGTCAGAAATGATAAATAGTCACACGTTGGTGGCATTGGCTTTTTTACACAAAGTGGACAGTAAATGCCTCTCTTGATTTCTGAGATACATGAATTAAATAAGTGTCTGGACTGATAATTATCTTGGAGAAAATGATTTCAAGCCCAGGCTGTTCTGCAAGGAGTCAAGTGTGGTTGGAACAGATGAAAAGGGTATAGAAGAAGGGAAAAATTATGTGACTAATAGGGGCTAGAATATGTAGTACTTTTTAGGCCACATTAAGAATGTTTGACTTAAGGTACTATTTTGAATAAGATGGTAGCAATAACATAATATGCAATGGAAGAGTGACTTAATCTGACATATTTATATACAATTGTTCTCAATGCCATATAGGGATTTGAAAATTAGAAATGGTAGTAGAAATACCAATTATAAGGCTTTAGTTATTGTTTAGGTAAGATAGAATATCGGATTATATTTTGAATGATAGTTGTGGGGCAGTGAATAGCCATTGATTTGAGATGTATATTGAATAAAGACATGCTAGCTTTTACAGATGAGTTAGATTTGTTATATGACAGAATGATGATAGATAATGATGTCTTCAAATTTTTTGTCCTAAGCAAGGGGAAGAATGGCATTGCCATTTAGGGCCAAGTACGAAGAGGGTAAATAAGAGTTTGTTCTAGAACATATTACATTTGAAGTGCCTTTAGTATGTCCAAGGGGATAATCAAGTAGGCAGTTGGCCATAGAAAAAGATGTTTAGGCAAACCATCAAGTTAGAGATAAAAATTATGGGGTTATTAACACAGAGGTGGCATGTAAAGACATGGGACTTGGCATCCTTTAAGGAAATAGAGTATGTACAGAAGAAAGGATGTCAGAAATTGAGATCTGGGTAATGCTGACCCTAGTGCTCAGAAAGATCATGAGAAAGAAGCAAAACAGGCTGAACTGAGGCAGCTGGAGGGCCGGTGCAGGGGGGTCACTGAATGATTTTAGGAAAAGGAGAATAATCATTGGAATCAAATATTAGTGGCTAATGAGAATTAAAAACTAATCCTGGATTAGGAGAAATACTCTTTATTAATAAGACCCTGAGAATACAAACTTCTTTGCAATTTGGGAACAGAAATCTCAACTGAAATGAAATTAATAGAAAACTGGAGAAGAGGAATTTGGAGATAGTGCATACAGACATTTTTTTCCTACAAATAGGACATAAATAATTGTATGAAGTTGTAGGTCAAGAGAAGATTTTTTAAGAGAGCAGATGGTGAACATAAGATGTTCTGTATGACATAATTATCTAGTAGAAAATGAAAGCATGCAATTACTCTCTCTCTCTCTCTCATTAAAACTTATAGGAAATTTGTTTGATATTTTAAAAACTTGCACATAGTTTGACCATGGCCTACATAGGTGGTTGAGCCTGAACGTAGAGAGCTAAAAGACCATTGTTTTCAAAGATATAAATATTCTTTTCTGGTACAAAATAACTAAAAAAAATGGACTTCATTAATATTAGTTATCCAGTAATTGTGAAACCTATGCCATGCGTATCTCCAGTGGAAATTATTTTCTCACTACACAATTTGCCTACTCAGTCTTAAACATAAATAAAATAAATGTTTAAGACAGATATGTTCAAAAGTTGAGATCACACAATTACAATACAGAAAAGGGATGAGAGAGATAACCAAACATCAATAAGTAATATACTGAGTCCATAATCTAGAAAAAGGGCATTAATGTAATTCTTATTACATGATTTTGCATTTTCAAAGAGTATCATTTTATTAATCTAAAACTAGGTCTTTGAGAAGCAGAGCTAGTATGAGAAACACAAGATCTCATACTTCTCATGCCATCACCAAGAAGACGAAGTTTGATCAAGGGAAAACTGGTACTATTTGTTAAAGTAGATTCACTTAAAAGGCTCCAACATATTTCCAAATACTGAACTAAAACATGGTACACAATACTAAAGTAAACTATAAAATGAGATGCATTTCATTACATTCATTACAGTCATCCCTGTGCATGTAAGGGGGACAGGTTCCAACATGTCTGCAGATACCGAAATCAGAGGATATTCAAGTTGCTGACATAAAATGGCATGATATTTGCACACTAACTATGCTCATCCTCCTATATGTTTTAAATCATCTCTAGATTACTTACAATATCTAAAACAATGAAAATGTTATGTAAAAAGTTGTTATACCGTGTGTTTTTATTCATATTATTTTTACTGTTGTATTGTTAATTTGTTCTCAACTATTTTTTTATCCACAGCTGGTTGAATCTGTAGATATGGAACCTGAGATGCAGAGAGCCAACTGTACTCTAAATCTTGATAGATATGTTGCTCCCTAAATTTAACACCTGTGTTTTTTTAATTTTTAAAAAAATTTCCATTGAGTATGCAGAAAATTATCAGTATTTGTTTTCCTATCACATGGGAAAGTTTAAAAAAACTTTAAAACAAACTCAGAATTTTGGCTCTAAAAGGCTAGCAAAGGTAATAGTTTCAGCGCATTTATGAAATATTTCTTGCCTTGAGATCTGTTATTACAGAGATGAAACTGTTTTCTATGCAATCAATAAAATATTACTAAAAGTATAATCAGGAAAAATAAACTGTCACCAGACAATCTGCCACAACATTTTTTCAATTAATAGGATTGAAACTAATTAAACAATGTGCTATTAAAATGATGGTGTAAATCTCATATACATTATCATGTGTTAAATGTACCACACTAAATAATAATGCCTGTTTTACTCAAGTTTAAAAAGAATTCCTGAATTTTTTGTTTTTTTTTTTAATGCTTTCAAAGAAATTATTTCAAATATTGAAATGTTACATGGAAAAAAGTGTCCAATTATCTAGGTTTAAGTATGAAGTTGATCCAGAGTGATTAGCTGGGCCATTGTTTCCCCTTAAAAAGATATGGAACTAAAATGCTAACAAAAACAATAAAAATTCAATTGCTACCTATTTTAGAATGCATCTCAGGGAAAAAGCAGCACATTATAGTAAGAAAATGGGATGAAGGAAGTGTTTTTATGGCTAGAGAGTGAGTGCTACACTGCATTATAGTAAATGCACAAATAAAAGGAAATCTTAAGATATAAATTTCATTCAATAAACTGTAAATATTTAAACATTAACTATTTCAGTCATATGAGACTAGAACAAGTGTCTGAACATTACTTTGAAAATAAAAGATTGCAATTATCTAAATATGTGTATGATTTAATGTATATTTTAGAATATAGGATCTTCTCAAATTATTTAAATTTTTTTCCTATTGTATAACTTTAAAATTATAACCAATGTTAGTGTTAAATTTAAAGAATCTGAAATCCATTTTTGTCCTTAGTCCCTCAAGCTCTGTCTATTCTGGAATTCTACATGTTTTCCCTGTAAGTTCACATCATTGGATCATCTCACTTTAGGCCCCATCAGTCTTGGTCTGGACATAATTAAGGAATTCCATCTCAGTGTTCAGACTGCCTATTAAGTCATTCCTTGCATCTAGACTAGCTTTGATGCGTGTGTTTTTTTTTTAATTTAAAATTAGAGGATGTTCATCCTGTTTCCCAAATCTAGGGCCTGCCTTATAATCTAATTGTATTTACTATTTTATTTCTGTTTCCTATGTTTGACATTTAATCTTTTAGTAGCTTTCCAGTCAGTACCTTTGTCCATGTAAGCCAAAGAGTCTATTAAGTTTGTGACATTCTCTTGGTAAATTAGAGTCATATTGAATTCATCCTCATGGCGTCTGCCCATTTACATAAAGCAGATTTCCATAATGTCAACTGACTTTCTGCCTAGCTGCATGAATTTCTAAATGTATTCAGGTTTTATAATCCCTATTAGTACAACCTACTCATTTCTTGCTAGTTGTTAAATTCCACAATACCTATTTAAATCTGTGGCTGCTAACTGGGTTCTATTACCTTAGATGCTGGTTATTATATTCTGAATGTCAGGCTTAATTTTCTCCCATCATATGATACCCCTATTGTCCCCACAGTTTCCTTCCTCAGTTTTCTGTTCCATAAAACTTACCAAGCTAGATCTAGCCATGTGCCAAGATAGAACAGAGCTATGCAAGATGGCCCACTTCTAAAAACACTCAGTTAGTGCTTCTTTTGGATGTTATGATAGTAATACATTACTTGAGAATTTGCATTGTATTTATAATTTTTGCAGATTTTAAAAATAATTATATCATGTTTATGTTTATTTCTACTTTTTAATGGAAGCAGTTTCTGCCTTTATTGAATTCCATAGGTTAGAATGCAGGAAAAAAATAAATTTTTTAAACCATTTAAACTCAACAAGATTTATGTGGAGAAGTGTTCAATTTGTAGCCTTTCTAATACATATTACTGCTTAGATCTATAAGATAGAACATGCAATAAAATGCAAAGCAATTAAATGCAAAAATGATAGTGCTCTTCTGTGTTTAACTGACATTGGCATAAGAAAGATTAAAAAATATTTAGTAGCATAAATACATATATTTAAGTATGAGAGGAAGTCAATTTCTGAGTTGTAATATACTAAGTATTGGATGGAGATTATAATGACAGCTATTGCAATGCTGTAGAGTAAGTCAAACAATGTCTGATGATTTAATTTCTAGCTAAATGATTGTGTCTCTTGAATTTTTCAATAGCATCTACTTTGATGAGATTAGTTTATGTATTACAAGGCAACACAAGGAGTAATAATATAAATATTTTTATGAACCAAGATATTATCTGGTAAGTAAATTATATATTCTGAAGTAAAAACCAAAATAGTCATACTTTTTTTACAGGTGTATTTTCTATTTTCATATAATATTCTTTTGCTTTACCAAATACATTTCCACAATTTGGGCATCAAAATGAAAAAATGACTGAAATAAATTTTAAAATATTCAATTAATGAACATGTGTAGGTCCATGTTGACATTTTAAAAAGACAGGGGTAAGTATAAAAATAACTCATTTGCCACCAATATTACCCCAACTCTAATGAGTTTCTATCTTGAACTCATTAAAGAGGCCAAATTAAGCATAAATGATAAAATTTAAGGAAGTACTATAGTGTACCTCCTGTTGGTAATCAAAAGCTAATTTTTTTTGGAGAAGGCCAGCTAAAATTATGGAAAGAATGATACAATTAAAAAATCATTTGTTATTAAGTTGTTGAGTCAGTACATACTCATTATTGTAAGGAAAAAAATAAAAATAGTGAGTGAAAGATTTTTGGGCATCCAATATTTGCCTGGTGCCAAAAGTATTATCTCACATATTTCTTGCTAATTACAAAAGGAAGAAAACATATCTTTATAATAGAGAGTTGTGGTTTGTAATCATCTGAAAAAAAGAGATAAAAGTTAGCCTCATTTATTTTGGGGAAAACCTGATATTGGATGCCAACTGATGGAAAGCAATTCAAAATACCTAGCATTGCCTGCGTCATATTTCCGAAAAATATTTAACCTGAATCTTATCAGACATTTAGGTCTAATTTCTCATTTAGAGGTAATACAGGGTTTGAGGAAAAGCTTAAATGAAAGCAGGAGAAAAAAATTAGGCAAACCCAGTAGGTAGGAAATTCTAACAAAAACAGATTTACTATATTTAAAAATGTGTTTTTGGAAAGAATAAAAAATAGGCATATAATATTGATTTTAAAAAGACTAAAAGTACATAAATGCAATCTATAAAAGTTTTTGAATCATGGTTGAAAATAAAATAGATTTAAAAGTATATTGGCAGACATTTGGAGAATTTTTAATATGAACTGGATATTATATATTAGGGAAATACTATTACGTTTTAGGTAAGATATTAGTACTGCATTTTATTTATTTTATTTATTTATTTATTTATTTATTTATTTATTTATTTTTACAGAATCTCGCTCTGTTGCCCAAGCTGGAGTGCAGTGGTGTGATCTCAGCTCATTGCAACCTCCGCCTCCCGGGTTCAAGCAATTCTTCTGCCTCAGCCTCTCGAGTAGCTGGGATTATAGGCAACCACCACCACGTCTGTCTAAGTTTTGTATTTTTAGTGGAGAGGGGATTTCACTATGTTGGCCAGGCTGGTCTCGCACTCCTGACCCCAAGTGATCTGCCCACCTTGGCTTTCCAAAGTGCTGGGATTACGGGCGTGAGCCACCGTGCCTGGCCTAGTACTGCATTTTTATGAGTATGTCTTGTTTAAGAAATGTATACTGATTTATACATAGGTAAAATATAAGATTTCTAACCATTAAAAGGTTCTGAAAAAATATATTAAATATTAACAAAAATAAAGCAATGGGCCAGGCACGGTGGCTCACGCCTGTAATCCCAGCACTTTGGGAGGCAGAGGCGGGCGGATCACAAGGTCAGGAGATCGAGACCTTCCTATCCAACACAGTGAAACCCCGTCTCTACTAAAAATACAAAAAACTAGCCGGGCGTGGTGGCGGGCGACTGTAGTCCCAGCTACTAGGGAGGCTGACGCAGGAGAATGGCGTGAACCTGGGAGGCTGAGCTTGCAGTGAAACAAGATGGCGCCACTGCACTCCAGCCTGGGTGACAGAGCAAGACAACGTCACAAAATAAATAAATAAATAAATAAATAAAAATAAAAACATAAAGCAATGATTGTAAACTTAAATTTTTTTGTACAACATTCTTTGAAATATTTATACTTTGTGAAATAATGTAATCAAGCTAGTTAGCATATGCATTACTTCACATACTTATATATTTTCTATCAAAATACTAAATACTATCTGATTTTCAATAATACAATATATTAACTATAGTCACCATGTTATACAATATTAACAATTTTTAATCAAAGTGGTTAATATATACTAATGTCTATTATAAAATTATTTATTTTTCTATGTATGTCATATTTTCATAATAATATGATGACAATAAAACATAGAACATTTAGAATAAGCAATTTACTGAGTATGAATTGAATATAAATTGTGATTGTAATTTCCTATCTTAATATTCCTTATTCTTTGATTTAATAAATTAGAATTTTGGAAATTGTTTAAATGTTGCCTTCAACCTGAAACACCAAACATCGAAATCTCAAAGATCTAACAAATTACCAAAATAATACTATTTAAGTATTTACTAATTTGGTCTCCATTATTCTCTGAGCTTTTCTAAATTTGTAATACTCTTCTCTAATTTATAAATTTCCAAGGCCATTTTAATTTTGAATATTTACAGATACACTTTGATTCATCGAGTTGAATAAGCATTTTTCCTGAGGCGTAAAGAAAAATAACTTCTGTTTTGCATTTACTTCATTCTTGCCTAAAAAATCTCATTGAAAATCATCCTGTAGGCTATTGATACAAACTTTGTTAGATAATAAATAAGTAAAAGATTTAAAAAATTAAACAAAGAGAAACCATGAATTATGGATAATGCTTTTGTGAGCACTCACTGCTGTTTGAAACCAAAGGCCAACTCTTCGCAGTAGTCACACTCCATCTTGTGTTTGGTATACTGTAGTATTAAATATGTTGAAAACAAAGTATCTTTCACTAAAAATCAACAGAGTGTAATAAGGTCGTTTGAAGTTATTTAAAAATACTGCACTGCTTATGAAAAATGAAGAAATATATGCTGCTTTTAATTTATAATTACTTGTTACTATATTGCAGGCAGAAAATGCAATGTGTATAAAATGGAAAGAGGTAGAAAAATGCCAAGTGCCAGGATCCCTAATAGCCTCAGCAGCTGATCACACAGTGGCTCAGATTCTGGTGGGAGAAATGCTGAGAGAGCTATTCTGAGCAAAATCATCTCATCATTCCTGCCTGTAAGGCTTTTTTTTGTCAACATCCCAAGCAGAATTGCCAGATGTAATGAATTGGGTGTAGGGTCTAGACTTGAAATACTTCAGTTCAGATTTGTTAAACAGTTAAATAAGGGATCACAGGTAAAAGTGTATAAATATTAGCCATTAGAGCTGTTAATATTTTCAGAAAAAAATAAAATAAAACATTCTTTCCCAATTGACTATAAACCTCAATTTTTGTGATTTTTAAAGAAGTTTACATGAAGATTAAATGTAATTAATTAGGTTATAATACTGTTAAAGTAAAAAGTAGAGTTATGTAACAAAAGCTATCAATTATACTGATGTTTACTGTTAAGTAATTGAAAAATTCCTAATTTTATCTGAAAAAAGTAATCAATAAATATTTTTGTAAAAATCTCAATATTTTTTCTTCTAAATCTTAAAGCAATTAAAATAAGAAAACCAAACTCTGCATAGCACCTTGACTATACCTATTATAAATAACTGGATTTAAGATACAGTTGAATAAGTTTCCTTAAATATATCTGAAAGTTTTCAGTAATACAAATATCATAATGACTTGATATTCAATCAGTGATTTAGAAGGAAATTGTAATAGTCTGTTCTCATGCTGCTAACAAAGAAATACCCAAGACTGGATAATTTATAAAGGAAAGAGGTTTAACTGACTCACAGTTCAGCATGGCTGTGGAGGTTTCAGAAAATTTACAACCACAGTAGTGGAGAAGCGAACACATCCTTCTTCCCATGGCAGCAGCAATAAGGAGTCCTAAGCAAAAGGGGGAAAAGTCCCTTTAAAATCATCAGATCTTGTGAGAACTCACTCACTGTTATGAGAACAGCAGCATGGAGGTAACTGCCCCCCATGATTCAATTACCTCCCAGCAAGTCCCTCCCACAACATGTGGGGATTATGGGAACTACAATTCAAGATGAGATTTGGGTGGGACACAGCCAAACCATATTATTCTGCCCCTGCCCTCTCCAAATGTCATGTCCTCACACTTCAAAACACATTCATGCCTTCCCAATAGTTGCCCAAAGTTTTAACTCATTCCAGCATTAACAAACACAAAAGTTCAAGTCCAAAGTCTCATCTGAGACAAGGCAAGTCCCTTCAGCCTATGAGCCTATAAAATCAAAAGCTAATTAGTTACTTCCTAGATACAATGAGGGAACAGGCATTCAGTAAATATGTTCATTCCAAATGGGAGAAATTGACCAAAACAAAGGGGCTAAAGACCCCATGTATGTCTGAAATCCAATAGGATAGTCATTAAACTTTAAAATTCCAAAGTGATCTCCTTTGACTCCATGTCTCACATCCAAGGCAGACTGATGAAAGAGGTGGGCTCATACAGCCTTGGGCAGCCCTGCCCCTGTGGCTTTGCAGCATATAACTCCCCTCCCAGATGCTTTAATGGGCTGGCATTGAGTGCCTGTGACTTTTCCAGGTGCATAATGCAAGCTGTTGGTGAATCTACCATTCTGGGGTCTGTAGGACAGTGGCCCTTTTCTCACAGTATGCAGTGCCATAGTGGGGATTCTGTGTGGGGGCTCCAACCCCATATTTCCCCTCTGCACTGTCTTAGCAGAGGCTCTCTATGAGGTTTCCACTCCTGTTGCAAACTTCTGCCTAGACATCCAAGTATTTTCATACATCCTCTGAAACCTCTCAAACCTCAATTGTTGACCTCTGTGCACCCACAAGGCCAACACCACATGTAAGCTGCCAAGGCTTGGAGCTTGTACCCTCTGAAGCAAGAGCCTGAGCTGTATGTTGGCCCCTTTGAGACACAGCTGGAGCTAAAGCAACTGGAACTCAAGGCACCATGCCCTGAGGCTGCATACAATAGGGGACCTTTGGACCCAGCCCAGGAAACCATTTTTCCCTTTCAGGCCTCCAGGCCTGTGATGGAAGGGGCTGCTGTGAAGATCTGTGACATGCCCTGGAGACATTTTCCCCATTGTCCTCGTGATTAACATTTGGCTTCTTGTTACTTATGTAAATTTCTGCAGCCAGCTTGAATTTCTCCTCAGAAAAATGGGTTTTTATTTTCTATTGCATTTTCAGGCTGCAAATTTTCCAAACTTTTGTGCTCTGTTTTTTCTTCAATGCTTTGCTGCTTAGAAATTTCTTCTGCCAGATACCCTAAATTCTCTCTCTCAAGCTCAAAGTTCTACAAATCTCTAGGGCAGGGGAAAAATGCTGCCAGTCTCTTTGCATGGCAAGAGTGAACTTTGCTCCAGTTCCCAACAAGTTCCTCACCTCCATCTGAAACCACCTCAGCCTGGACTTAATTGTGCATATCATTATCAGCATTTTGGTCAAACCCATTTGACAAGTCTCTATGAAGTTCCAAACTTTCCCACATCTTTGGGTCTTCTGAGCCCTCCAAGTCTCTAGTAAGTTCCAAACTTTCCCACATTTTTGTATCATTTTCTGAATCCTCCAAATTGTTACAACTTCTGCCTGTTACCCAGTTCCAAAGTTGCTTCCACATTTTTGGGTATCTTTACAGCAGAACCCTACTACCCAATTTACTGTATTCATGCTGCTAATAAAGATATACTTGAGACTGGGTAATTCATAAAAGAAAGAGGTTTAATTAACTCACAGTTCGGCATGGCTGGGGAGGACTTAGGAAACTTATAATCATGTTGGAAAGGGAAGCCAACACATTCTTCTTCACATGACACATCAGGAAGTGCTGAGCAAAAGGGGGAAAAGCCCCTTATAAAACTGTCAGATCTGGTGAGAACTCACTATCAAGAGAACAGAAGCAGCATGAGAGTAACTGGCTCCATGACTCAATTACCTCCCACGGAGTCCCTCCCACAACATGTGGGGATTATGGGAACTGCAGTTCACAATCAGATTTGGGTGAGGACACAGCCAAACCATATCAGAAATAGCAAATTTTACAAGGATATCCAAAACTGTAGGTCTGAGTATAAAAGATTTCCAGTTACTTAAAAGAATAAGAACAAACAAACAAAAAACACTTACTATAGGTAAGTTACTAGACTGGACTCTGCTTTCAGGGATTTCAATTAAGAAAAAAAAAATGTGTCTGACTAAAGAAATAGATTCTACTTATGCCAGCCTGATTGAGGATGGTGAGTATTTTGTGCTTATCTTCCAGGTCCTCAGACAACACTCCACACTGCCACACTGAGGTGATGCTTTTACCTTTACTTCACTTTTCTAGTGAGGGCTTTAACATATAAATGATTCATTTTAACATGTGAGTGTCTGTGAAAAATTTGATCTTGTTACATGATGGATCATGCCTTATTTATCTTCAGTTGCCTGGATCTAAGCACAGGACCTGACACATACCTCATTATCAATGTATTTGTGTTGAATGTAATTTGACAAGCTGGAGAGAAGTGCAGATTTGTCAGCTTTTTACTTGGAGATACCTATCTTGAGATCCAGTTTACCTTGCTCTACCATTTAGAATCTCTGAATGCAATTAAGAAAATAGCATGGCATTGCCAATTCTCAATTTTTTCATGTTTAAATTGCCAGTAAGATTGCCTATTCATAGGTTTGTCATAAGGATAAATTGTGATGATAGTAACAACAAATAACCTTGCTTGAGTGCCTTTGCTGAGTGCCTGCTGCGTTCAGGTGTGGTTCTGCATACCAAGCTTTGTCGTAAAACTTCAGATACATATTTTATTTAATCCTAAATAACCTCATAAATTATGTATTATTATTTCTAAATTTTACAGATTAATAAAATGAGACAGAGATTAAATAATTTGCTCAAGTTCAAACAGAAAATGGATCGAGAATGGGGAAGTGTGACTCCATGTCCTCCTGTACTATGTAAGGGTTTAAATATAAACCCATGATCAATAAAGTTAGACTTCAAAAAACAAAATAAAAGAAAAACACTTCAACTGCTATTCATTATTTGTAAGTTTTTTATGGGGGAGGAGTGGCTATAATGCAAACTTTCTTTGGTCTCTAGTTGCTAATGAGTGTGTCATTTTTATGAACATATGAATACACTTAAGCCTACAAAGACTCTTGCTTTGGCAAGCTGTTGAACACTAAACTAAATGGATGTGACTAGCTACAGGGACATACTCTTTGAATGAAAGGAGTGACTTCTCTATTAAAGAAAACATGTGTGACTTTGGGTAGGATGTGACACTTTTACCATATGATTTACAACATATCTATACTTTTAACTCCTCCCTGCAATTTCAAGCCAACTTACACATTTTTTTTAACCTAAGTTGCCCTTGCCTTTCAGTGGCTATTTTACATTTGAAAATATAAAATAACAAGTGTTATTTTCATCTAATTTCTAAAAATTTGGCTTTCTTCTAGACAGGCACCTGATTTGGAAAAAAGCAGAGGTTCCATCCAGCTGGAAAGAAAAAGAAAGTAAAAAAATAGTCAAGGTTTCCAAGAATATAGGTCTCTCTCTGTTTAAACTGTTCCAAACCACACTTGCTTAGAAACACAGACCAAAAAAGTCTTGACTCTTTCTATATAGAACCTTTTTAATCATCTATGGCAGGCCAAGGGCTACAGCTTTAGGCAGTCACATGGCCAGAATTTCTGTTCTCATGTCTTTGGCTACAAGAAAAGTCTGTAAACCAATTTCCAGACTGTGTTAAAAGTAGTTTTACTGTGAGAAGGAGGGAAAAAAGTACCTTTGATGTTCAGTATGTGAAATTAAACATTTGGTTTACGTACGTGTCCTTTTTAGGATTATTAAACCATAACCAGTCACCTGTATTGGAGTCCCACATTGCTATAGCTAACTAACACTTATATCACTTTTCAGCTGCCTCCAGTATTAAGCTCACAAGTGCCAGTTACAATTAAAGGGAATATTTTTTAAAAAATCACTTCACAGTTTATTCACAATGCTGAATGCGTTTATTTTGTGGAATTACCTACAGCTAAGCTACGGTAAACAGGTGCAGCTTTTCTAAGACTATTTTCCTTCCATTTTTTTTCTCTCCAAAATTACTTACTTGTTTCCCACTTTGGAGAAGTGCAGTGACTGACTTTTAGCTGCTATAACATATTACAAGGAAGAATACCAGTTCGAGTGGCTCTGTTCTAGGACAGTGCATTTCTTATTTTCTATAACATAGGAATATTTTTACAGGAATGATTCCTGCCTCCATTAATACTGGAGAGCTCAGAGCACAAATCCCAACACATAGAAATGCAATTTTCAGTATCTGAATAAAACTGTATCTACTTAGCTTAGTGTATCCCAGCACCATAGATGAGTTCATAAAAACAGTTCTCTGCATTGCAAATCAACTTCCAAAAAGCATCCATAAGTCTAAAAAGATCAATTCTGTTTCCACAAGACTATTTCTACAGAGTACTATTAAGTGATAGATATAAGGATGTTTGAGGGTTCTTTATTTTCCATCTCTATCTGCCCCACTAGGCCATTCCATGTAAATAACAACTAGAAAGACAAACAGCATGTTTGCTATATAAACATATCTTTAAAAACATCCTTCCAATTAGACTGGGTCTCCTAATTGCCTCCTTTTCCCCCCAGCTTTCCTGAGGTATAATTGTCAAATAAAAATTGTATATATTTAAGATTTAAAACATGAGGTTTTGATATACATATTATTATTAAATGATTACACAATCAAGTTAATTAATATATTTGTCACTTTACAGTTACTTTTCTACAGCGAAAACACAAGCTTTACTCTCTTAGCAAATTTCGAGTTTACAATACTTTTACTTATTATTAACTATAGTTATCATACTGTGCATTAGGTTTCTGGAATTTATTCATCTTATAACTGAAGTTTGTACTCTACAACTAACATCTTTTCATTTTACCCTATCACCAACTCCCTCTAAAATAGAAATTTTGAAACTACTACTCGTGGTATTTCTTGTACTTTGAAACAACTTAGTCAAAATAAATTTTTAATAAAGTTGGAGGTGTCCTCTTCCTATGCTGTAAAAGTCTGCCAACTTCAAATCATTGTATTTGTGCTGTCTAAATAAGAACAATTACATGTTTTCATTTATTTCCATGCCATAAGTATAAATGGATCTAATTTTCCGTAGCAGTGAAAAATTTTGAATACAACATTAAAAACTTGCTTCGAATATTGATATTGACAGCATTATTTCTAGGTTGATCAAATATTCAATAAGGATATATAGATTTTAATAAGTAGTCAAATTTCCTAGCAAAGTCCACATTAATTAATTGATTATATTTAAAATAATTCTATCAAAGTATTTAAGGTAACCACTGATGATTTTAGCATATTTACTGCATTTTGTACATCGATGAATCTAAAAGAAAACAATGAAAAAGAATAATATTCAGTTATTTGGCAGGTATAAGTTTGTTACATAAATCATCCAGAGAATGACTCACTACATAATGGTGTGTTTTTAAATTTTTGTGTGTCTGTGAAATTCTCAAATTTCCTTCTGTTATTGATGTCTAACTTCCTTCCATTGTGGCTGGAGAACAAACTTTCTTAAACCATTATGATAATGATGAAAAGGGTGATGAGCCTTTTTAAATTTTTGGAGCCTTGTTTTAATGGCCTGATATATGGTTTATCCTGACGACATGCTCCTTCTCTTTTGTTCATTTTCCTGTTTGTTCCTTAGAGTAGATAATTTCTATAGTCCTATAGTCAAGTTTGCTGACTCTCTTTCTGCTTAGTTCTGCTCTTTAGCCCCTCTAGTTAGTTTTTATTTCAGTTATTGTAATATTTAACCCCAGACATTCTATTTACGTCTTTTTAAAAACGACTTCTGATTCTTTATAGATATTCACTATTTTGTGAGACATTGTTTTCACTCTTTCCTGCATAGTTTAGTTTTTCGAATACATTTAAAATAGCTGATATAAAGTCTTTGTCTCTTAAGTCCAGTGTCACCTTCCTCATTAATTGTTTATATTGACTACTCTTGTTCTCATGTATTGGTCATACTATTTGTATACCTCCTAATATTATTTTGTTGTTGAAAACTGGATGTTTTAAATTATGTAACTTGACAGCTGTGGAAATCAGCTTCTACTCTCTCCCCAGCGTTTGTAGTGGTTACTGTTTATTGTACTAGCAGTTGTTTGTTTGCTGAGTCACTTTTCTAAACTAATTTTGTAAAGTCTCTTTCCCTTGCCATGTGTGTCCATTGAAGTCTCTGCTTGGTGGGTTCAGTGACCAGCTAATGATTATACAGAGATTTCCTTAAATGCTTCTAACAAGATATCTTCTGATTTTTGCTGAGATGACTTGAATATGTTCTGAGGTATGCCCTCACTGTACAAGCAAGCAGTTTACAACTCTGTATCATCCTTCACTTTTTGCTTGTGCGGCATATTAAGCTAAGCCACAGCTACACGCTTTGGACATTATAAGGTCTTTCCAGGATGTGCGCAAACCCTGGGCATGCACAATGTCGTACAGGGTTCTAGATTCACAGGAACATACAGAGCTTTTCAAAGCTCTCTGTGGATATCTCATTCACTAGCTCTTTCTTGCAGGTTTTCAACATTTGTTTTCCACAAAGGTAATCAGAATCCTAAGCAGCTACCGTGTTAAACATTTGCTGCTGATAATTTTCACAAACACTCTGAGAAAAGGCTGTTTGTCCTGAGTGAGCTCCGAGGCAGGTCAGATAAATGCACTCTCTGCAAGTGAGGGTCTTCTATGAAACCACAAGACAGGTAAGCAGTGAGAATTCTTTGGAAATGAGACTTTCAAGGAGATTTAAATGGTACTCATTTCTGTAGTGGCTGCCAGGCTGCTAGTTTTTACCATGAGTGTGGACTGTTTGATTTCAGGAAACATGTAGCGGCAGTTTAAACCCCCCTAAAACTGTTCACTGTTCTTACTTAAATCGTTGTTGTCACTGTTCTGAATAAGTATTCCGAGTTGTTCCAAGCTTTTGCTTTATATCCAGATTTTTGAAAAAAATAGAATTGATCTTTTTTTTTTTTTTTTTGCCAGTTCACTGACATTTTTATGGTGGAAACAAATTCCAGCAATCTCTTCCATGCTCGGTTTGCTGATGTCACCCTTTATCATTTTTTTAAATACTAGTTTACCTGGTTATAGAATTACATACTGAAGATTTCTTTCCCTTAACAGCGCTTTATGATGTAATTGTATTGTCTTCTCACCTAAATGATTTCTGAAAAAGATCTTTAATGATTTTTGTTGTTTCTGTGCAGGTACTCTAGCTGTGTCTAATTTTTCTATTTGTGTCTAGTTTTTAGCAGTTCAAAAATGAATTTCTAGATATTTTTCTTGCTGTTTATTTTCTTATTTTTCTTGCTTTCTTCCATGAGATTCTTGTTTCTGTGGTTGATGCCAGTCATTAAATCTGCAAATGTGTTGGCTATTATTTCTTCAGTGTTTATTGTATCCTTTCTCTTTTCTCTTTCTGAAATACCAATCATGCATATGTTACTAGTGTGTTATTTTCTTAAAACTCTGAGATGCTATGTTATATAATTTTTTTCTCGTTCAATTTCAGTTCAAATAATTTCAATTATTTTCAAAATCTCCTGATCGTTCTGGAGAAAGTTCTGCTTGCTCATAAGGTATGATTGGAAAACAGGGGAAGTTGTAACTACTACAAAGGGACATACTTGTTTTGCGATAGGAGAGAAGAAAGAACCCTCTCATCGCTTGGGAAGGCAATAATGTAAACACTAAGAGTAAAGGTGAGGGAGAAATGCTAAGTACACTTATCTTTCATAATCACCTTCATCCTCATAAATGAACCCCCTCTTAATATCGCTTTCCCAAACAATTGCAAGCAGTTTTAATTTATCTGGCTGTCAGATCTACCAGATTTTGACAGATGGCTCCAATCAAAATATTATTACAATTATCTTTCCTTTACTGGTGAACTATTAAAACAGGAGATGACCCTAGCTCCTTCACCTGCAACCCTAAACAACTGTCAATATCTTTGGACACCTTTTCCACCCACCTCCGTATAGTCAGTCATTCTTTGAGACAGACAGACGCCATCCTGCTGGTGACTTGAACATGTCCTTCGAAAGTGAATTTGATCAATTATTAAAATCAAACCTGGAAAGCATATGAGTTATCTTGGAGACTACGTTGGAAGCACTGTCAATCTCTGCCCCCTCCTAATGAATACTATTTGCATTTTTGAGACCCCAAGAATTCCTATCCTGGGAAATCATACATGTCTCTGGAATTGTGCTTTTTGTCTGGTAAAAATGAATCAATTTGTCCCTTCCCAAAAATATAGTCATTTACATCTTAGGGGTAGATGTTAGATACTTTGTAATGTTTTATAAAACACTAAACTGGATGACTGTGACTATCTTTTTTCAAAATGAGACTCCCTAGATTACTCAGAGATACTTCCTAAAAGGAAAATATGTTCATTATTTATGTATTCCTTGAAGACTGTTATCTCTACAACATGAGTCAATAGATTAGAAACCATAGTACAAAATTTATCACTGACTTTAACCAAAGTCATCAATTATACTGAATTGGTCCTGGAAGGCATTCAGTTCTGCCTGAACTCACTGGTCATGGTTGTTATGAATGATTGCCTGAGACTTGTTTCTCATAGTCCAAGGAAGAGTCAGTGCAATCACTAAATCATCTTGCTGTGCTTGGATTAATGTCTCCAGCAAAGTGGAAATGTCAATACTAAAACTTATAGAGAATGACACCAGGCTTTCTAAGTTAAAACGCATTTTCTGTTGTTGTTGTTGTTGTTTAGCTGTGTCTGGTACCTTAGATGACATATTTGTGGTCAATACTTAAGGTTGTACTCTTTAGGCTGCTTGGAATCTTATTTAGAATGGCCTTAATTAAATGTTGTATGAGATAATTGTATAGATTTAGCCTAGTTTCTGTAGGTCAGATTAATCGGAGTTGCTGATGAAGTGGCACTGTGGCAAAATTCACCAGAATTCAAGACATTGCAAAAATGAAGGGTGGATATTGTGAAGAGACAATTCTGCACAGGTCTTTCATTTTTCTGCATGTATTTTGAATAAGACAGTGATGGTTCTTTTGTTCCAGGCTATGTTTTCAATGATATTTATATAAAAGACAACCTTGAAAGATAGAGTATCTCCCTCAAGAGTAGAGAAACACTTTGTGTCTCTTATAGTGAAAATAATGTCTTCCTCCAAAGCAATAGGTTATTGTCATTACTGTCCATTATGAGCAGCTAGGGTTTCCTAAACTTAATGTTAATATCCTGTAACACAACTCACTGTATTTGGCAGAACTTATCAAATGTGAGGTTGGGACATTCTACAGGACAAGTTAGCCCATGTATTCAATAAATAAGTCACCTGAAAAAACAAAGAAGAAAATTGGATGCCCTACGAAAAAAATATAGACATATCAACCAAATGCAATGTATGAATTTTGACTGATCTTAATTAACGCAAACCAACAATTAAAATATATATTTGAAACAGTGACATTAGAATATCAAATATGTATTATTAGATAATATTAAGAAATTATTATTGTGTTGATTGGGGTTACTAAATTAAGGTTGTGTATATAAAGAAAGTTTATCTGTTAGAAATAATAGTAGTGTTAATACTGAAAGGATATTTCTGAGATTTGCTTTAATCTACTACTACTACTGCGCACGCACACACACACATACACACACTCAGACACACACAAAGATACGAAGCAAGCATATGGTGGGGGATATAGTTGGAAAAAATCAGATAAATATTTCTAGTTGTTGAAACTGGGTGAAAGATGCATGGGAATGCACTATACCAAACCAAACAACAGAAAACGGACTCAAATATAGCTTCTTAAATTCAAATTCCAAGTACACTTCTTCCTAGTTGTAAGACCTTTGGAAAGTTCCTTACCAGAGTTTCCTAAATTTCTCAATTGAAAGTAGTGGTAATAGTAATATCTCTCTCAGAGCTGTTATGAATTTTAAATGTGTTAATATTTTCAGTCACTCAGGAAAATGCCTCCCTAAATGTGTTACTTAGATACTAAAATGTAAATATTGCTGAATAACAAAATTAAGACAAGAACTTTTTCTTCAAAATTATATTTTAAATTATGAATTAATAATGTATAATATATAAAAATAATCTTATATTAAGCACATAAATGTTATATCTCTATAAAGTACCAATTACTTTATACTCATTGGTGTCTTCTTGCTTTTTTTTAACCCGTGAATGAGAATGGGGGCCTTTTAGAGAATATCATTCTAATTCAAGATCTCCCTGTATTTTCATGACTTCCATTGCATGCACTAAATCTAGGAACTAGTTTAAAAATTCTCTTTTACTTACATCTACCCTGAAAAATTGTTTCACTTCTTCTCCAGGTCTGAACAAATATAGATCATTCTTTCCACTTACAAGAAAAGAATCTCCAGAAATAAAAAGAAAAGATATTTTCTTCACTTAAATATACATTCAGAATTGTAGACCTCAGGCGTAGCACATAGACCATATTTCATTAATCAACCATCTATAAACCAATCAATCCATATTTTTAAACAAATTACTTAACAGAATTCAAATGTTTCCTGAATGTAGATAGGCACTGGTAAAGTTGTCTATTTCATGAAATTCCTCTGTGAATTTATAGTGGAGAATATAATTCACAGCAAGAAAATCACATTATGTACTCCTCCCTCCCCCAATAAGTTAAAAGTAGCTCGTATAGCTACTGCCAGAGAACTGCATTTTCCACTTACTGCTGAATGCCCTTTCCTCAAATATACTTCACAGAGAGATGATAATTTACATTTCTCAATAAGAAATGCGTGTTCAATGGTTTAGAGGAAAGGAACATCTCATCTACTTGTTCGTTTCACATATTTTTCCACAAATTCACCCCAGTTATATAAGCTTTCTCTAAATATGAAAATGGAAAGTCCCGGAACAGAGATCCCATTTCCCATGGTAAACGTGGTAGTTTTACAACTCAGGTGGTTGAGGTACATCATTTCACATCTTCTCAATTAGAATAATAAACTATAGAAGCGGTGAATGGTGGTTAAGAGCTACTACAGAAAATAAAAAAGAAAATGTAAAGTAATATTTTTTAGACAGAACAATTCTAAGTTATATAAAAAATGTGATGAAATATGTTGAGGGAACTTTTGTATGACATATCTGTGATTGTACTATTAATAACCTCAAAAATAACTAAATTTATATACTAGAAATTTATTCCAAAGTTTAAAAGTGAGTCAATAATTCTATTTTCAATTAATGACTTAGTCCTTTGTTTGATGCATTTGCGTCTGAAGTTGGAAAATATTTCCAATTCATTCTCCAAAGAAGTTAGAGAATGATTCAAAATTTCCAAGTTGGCTTTTGATAATTTCAAATATAAACAAGAAACCTAAATGAACATTAGTTAATATTACATTTCTGTCTACTTTAATTACTTAATAATATCAATTTTTTGTATCAAATTGTTTTATAAATGAGTATTTTGCTACAGAGAGTGTAAGCTCCATAAAAGCAATGTCTGTGAAGATATAATGCTATATATTGTTTTATAAATATGTCTTAGAAATAATATGGTCTGGAGTCAAACTCTGACATCATTCTTTACTAGGTGCATGACCTTGGAAATCATCTAACCTTTCTGAGTTTTAGTTTATAATTTTATAAATGAGGGTAATATCTACTAAATATAAAGATATATATCTATATATCTGTATACAGATAGAACTTAGAAAACAATCGATAGCTACTTAATTATGAAGCACACCTAATCCTGATAAAAGCTGCCAAAATCATTGTATTAGTCAGGGTTCTCCAGAGAAACAGAGCCAATAAAATACAGATAGATAGATAGATAGATAGATAGATAGATAGATAGATAGATGATAGATAGATAGATAGATAGAGATACACAGAAAGATATTTACAGTCATGTGTGACTTAACAATAATACATTCTAAGAAATGTGTCCTTAGTTGATTTCATCATTATGCAAACATCACTGAGTCTACTTACACAAACCTAGAGAGTATAGCCTACTGCACACCTAGGCCATATGTCATAGCCTATTACTTTTAGGCTACAAACCTGTATAGCATGTTACTATACTGAATGCTATAGGCAATTATAACGCAATGGTAAATAGTTGTGTATATAAATATAGCTAAGCATTGAAAAGGTAAAAAAATATGACATAAAAGATAAAAAATGGTGCACTTGCAGAGGGCACTTACCATGAATGGACCTTGCAGGACTGGAAGTTGGTCTGGCTGAGTCAGTGAGTGAGTGGTGAGTGAAGGTGAAGGCCTAGGACATGACTGTATATGAATGTAGAATTGTTAACATTGTACACTTAGCCTATACTAAATTTATTTTTAAATTTTTCTTTCTTTGATAATAAATTAATCTTAGCTTTCTGTAACTTTTAATCAACTTTTTATTTTTCAGCTTTTTGACTGTAATAATTCACTAAAAACACAAATGTACAACGTACCAAAAATATTTTCTTTCTTATTCTATAAGCTTTTCCTATTTAAAGACTTTGGGTTGTTTTACTTTTCTATAAAAAACGAAGACACCAACACACACATTGGCCTCGGCTTACACAGGGTCCAGATAATCAATATCAGTCTTTTATTGCCATATTTTGTCCCACTGGAAGGTCTTCAAGGGCAATAACAAGTATGGAGCTGTCACCTCCTAGGAGAACAATGCCTTTTTCTGGAATACTTCCTAAATGACCTGCCTGAGACTGTTTAAAAGTTAACATTTTTTTCTTAAATAAGTAGACAGAGTACACTCTAAAATAATAAAAAGTAAAGTAAATACATAAACCAGTAACATAGTTGTTTATTATCATCACCATGTAATACATACTGTGCATAATTGTACCTGTTCTACTTTTATTTGACTGGCAGCACAGGGGGTTTGTTTACATCAGCATCACTACAAACGGGTGAGTATCGCATTGCCCTCAGAAGTCATGATGGTTACAAAGTCAACAGGCAATAGAAAATTTTCTGCTTCATCATAATCTTATGGGACCCAAATCATAAATTCAATCTGTCCTTGACCAAAACATCCTTATGCAATGCATGACAGTATTATAAGTGACCAGCCTTACACAATTATAGAAGCTGCGATGTTCCAGCATCGGCCCTGTGAAAGCTGGAAACTCCAGAAAGCTGGTGGTGTATGAGATAACCAGGACAGACAATGGTGTAAGTCATTTTGAGTTTAAAGGAACAGGAGTCAGCAGCACCAATGTTCCACAAGTTGGATGGCCCAGCTCAAGCAAAGGGAGTAAATGTTTCCTTCCTCCACATTTTGTTCTTGTTCAGGCCTTCAGTGAATAGGGAGTGCCGCCCACATTGGTAAGGGTGATCTTTACTCAGTGTACAAATTCACATGCTAATGTCTTACAGAAACATCCTCATGGACATGTCCAGAAAAAGGGTTTGACGAGGTATTTGGGCTTCCCTTATCTGAGCCAAGCTGACCCACAAAAGTAACCATCACAATAGCAAAAATCAAAAAATTACAAATTAGCACATCACAAAGTGTGTTTGGCAAAAAAAAAAAAAAAAAAAGCCATTATTCTAGTCCCCACGTTTATTTTTTTAAAAAAAGATAAATTCTTTATTAAAAAAAGATTTAAGTTTTCTATACTGCAAAATCAACTGACTTGTTGATTTTCATAATTGTTTGCAAAAAAGAAGGTATAATGGTGAGGTTTGTAATTCTCACTTACGGAAAAAAGTCAATACTTTTTTTTTTTTTTTTTTGAGAGGGAGTCTCCCTCTGTCGCACAGGCTGGAGTGCAATGGAGCCATCTCTGCTCACTGCAAGCTCTGCCTCCCTGGTTCACGTCATTCTCCTGCCTCAGCCTCCCAAGTAGCTGCGACTACAGGTGCCCGCCACCAAGCCGGGCTAATTTTTTTTGTATTTTTAGTAGAGACGGGGTTTCACCATGTTAGCCAGGATGGTCTCGATCCCCTGACCTCATGATCCTCCCACCTCGGCCTCACGAAGTGCCACAGGCTAATTTAAATTATAGGCCTGAGCCACCACACCCTGCCAAAAAGCCAATTCTTAAATAAAATACAAGATACCAAATTAAGCATATGCTAAAAAACGCATTTTTTCTTTGGAAATTCTAATAAATTCCTTCAAAATACAGAACAAGAAAGGGGGAACAGATAAACTAAAAAAAAAGGAAGTCAATTACACAACAAATTATAAAATGGTATACCCTAACCCAATATTAGTAATTAAATGTTGATATACAAACAACTTCAACCACTCTCAGAAGGGATTAAGAAGTAACAATAAAAATCCAAGACCCAACTAGTTTTCTTTACAGATACACATACAGTTATTCAGCACCATTTGGTTAAGTAATCTTTAAATTTTAATGGAATTAAACCATCACATTTGCCCATCTTGTTCATTTTTAAGGCTGTTTTAAATTTTTAAATTATTTGTCTTTTCATTAAAAAATTTAAATTAGCCTGTTAATTACTTATAAAAACTAGAATATTGATTTCAATCACAAATCAATTGAACAGAGTTACAACTTAACTATTTCAAGTATTTTAATTCATTAACAATCCATTAACAAAACATCTCCTTCATCTATATTTTCTTAAATCAATCATTGCAATGCTTTGTATTTCCCTGCTTAAACACATGTCACTAAATGTATTCTTCAGCATTCTATTTTTAAGTTATTATGGCAGATCCAAGTATACTGAATTACAAATGGCATTTGTGTATTATCTTGAATCCAGTGACCTTGGTAAATTTACTTGCTAAAATAACTCTTCCTAAAACCTTTTTTTCTAGGTCTCTTAAGGTTTGCACCTACAATATTTTTATTTATCTGTCTTTATTGTAGGTATGCAATATAATACATACAATACATACAATAAAGACAGTTTCACTTTCATTCTCATCTTTATGTTGTTTATTTTTTCTATTACCATCTTATTGCACTAGCAATACAATGTTGAGTAGTATTACAGTAAATTATGATAATAAAATAATAATTACCATAAATGATTATAAAAAATATATAAATAAATATAATTTACTTATAAATGATTACAATATATATTTAGATAATGTAAGAATATTATATACATTTATATTTATTTTATATTTATTTATATTATATAAATATATAATTATTATGTATTATATTATAAATATATAAAATATTCTTACATTATCTAAACTATTTATTCTATGATTAAAAATACATTTACATATAAATAACAATGTATTATATATTTTATATATTTATAATATTCTTACATTATCTAAAGCATATAAATATATTTACATTATGTTATAAATAAAATACAAATAACCAAATTAAAATTATTAACACACTTCTAAAAGGAAAATAGGCACATGGCCAATGAACATATAAGGAAGTGCTTGACAATACTCATTAGGAAAAATGCAAATTTTAGCATAATGAACTACCACTATGTACCCACCAGAAAAGCTATAATTAAAAGCACAGAAACTCCAAATGTTGGCAAGGATTTGTAGCATACCAACTCCTCCTCTATTGACTGGTGAAAGTGTAAACTTACATAAACACTCGGTAAAATTATTTGACAGTTTCTTATAAAGATACATCTACCTTATGAGTTAGTTCTATTCATGTATTTATACAAGTGAAATAAAAACATATTATAGCCTCTAAAATCATCTGCATAGAAGCTTTCTCAATTTCTTGATAGTAGTCAAAAAATGGAAATAGTTTATTATAAAAGGATTGGATAGATTGTAAAAAAGTCACAACATTGAATACTTTCAGTAGTTAAAAGGAAAAAACAATGATTTTATGCAACAAAAGGTTGAATCTCACAAAAATTGTGGTGAGCTTAGACAAAGAGTCTTTACCTTCTAATATGATTAAGATGAAGTTCCAGAACAGGCAAAAACTAAGCTAGGTTAATAAAAGAGATAGGAAATTGTTTGCCTATTGGAAAGTATGTTAAATAGGAAGGGACACGAGAGAAATTTCTGAGGTGATAAAATTTTTTATATCTTAATATTGGTATCAGTTCTATGGGCATAAGTCACAACTCATTAAACTCTATACTTGAGACCTGTGTATTTTTCTGTATGTTAATTATAATTAAGCGAAAAAATGATATAAAAACTCAAAGACAAGAAAATTATATACTAAATATATGTAAATAAAAAAGAAATAAAAATTTATGTACTTTATCCAATAAATCAAACATAGTTTCATACCATTAAGTATATCTTTATATATGTTTTTCCCAGTTGATCTGCTAGAGATTGAGAAGTACATACATGTGTAATATTACTATTTTTTTCTGTCTACTTACATTTGCATTTGCTAAAGTTTTTGTATATACATATATATAATTCAACGAGATTTTTCTTTATTCTTATAATACAGTTGTGGTGTGCATTAATGTATGTATTTTCTTTTAAAATATCAATTGAGGTTTCTTCAGTTTATTTTTCTACTCTTACTTTGTTGCATTTCTTTTGTTTGCCCTAGTCTAATCTTCAAGAATATCAAGTAAAAATTACTTGTAGGCTGGGTGCAGTGGCTTATGCCTGTAATCTCAGCATTTCAGGAGAATGATGAGGGTGGATTGCTTGAGTCTAGGGGTTCAACACCAGCCTGGGTGACATGGTAAAAGCCCGTATCTACAAAAAATACAAAAAATTAGATGGACATGGTGACGCATGCCTGTAGTCACAGCTACTAGGGAGGCTAAGGTGGGAGGATCACCTGAGCCGCAGATTGAGGCAGCAGTGAGCCATGCTGATGCCACTGCACTCCAGCCTGGGCAACAGGGTGAGATTCTGTCTCAAAAAATAATAATAATAACAATTGTATATTCATTATCTGAAATACACATATAAAATGTCCTCCATGATTTTTTTCAACTCTAGCATTTGCATTTTGTGAGTGTTTCGCAAAATTTTTTTACCTTATTAATTTTCTTTAATATAAGTTTGGCTTTTCATTTGGGGATTTACATATTTCATTATGCTACCACAATTTAGTAGATATTAATTATACTACTATGTTTTATTTTATTTTTCCTGTATTATTTTATTTTCTTTTAATTTCATTCTATTTCCATTTCACACTGTCTTTCATTTTTAACTGTTTTTTCTAAATGATATTTTCCTCTTCTGTTCATATTTCATGAAGGTAACTTTTTTTCATGCTCATGAAAGTGCCAAATATTTTTCTGAAAGTTAGGAAGTTGGGATCCTGAATTAGATCTTTATTTCAGGAGTAGTCGGATGTGTTATTCCCTTTCTCGTCTATTTTTCAGGATAGATTTTCTCCCCCTCAAAAGGTAATATGTCCTCTTATTTTATTGATATGTATTTGTTTCCCATTGTCAGTATGATTTTTGACAATTTTTTTAAAATCTCTTTTTCATGTTGAGATACAGAGCAAGTTGATATGACATGTTCCCAGTAACACTTTTTAAATTTCTTTAGGCTTTCATCAGCCTTCCTTATTACTTATCTCTCTAAAAGTTGCAAATAATGTGAAAACCAGGGTCCTCTAGCAAGCACAATTAACTAGCATTGCTTTTATCTTCAACCTTTCCTCCAATATATATCTGAGAAACTATACCACCAACAATAGAAAGAATAGTTTTTACCCCATTCTTTCTTCGAACTTCCTCCCTGGCCCTCTGTTTCTGCACAAATATATTCTGTGATTTATTCACTCACTCTGAAAGGATTTCAAATGTTGCTATCCAAAAAGTAGTGATGGCTCATGGAGACCAAAAAACAAAATACAAAAATACAGGTTGAGTGTTGTCCAGTTTTCTGAGTTTTACATGCCCTGAGTTTCAGAAATCAGTTAGTGAAGAGGAATGCCTAATTCTTGTTTTGCCTTTTTTATATAGTCTGTTTTAAAAACATGGCCATGTTAGGCCAAGAGTTGAAGCCTAGATGCATTCTTTTTTTCAATCTGGCTTCATCCATATGTCTTTAATTAATATTGATACTTTCACTCAGCAATTAAATTGTCTGACAGCCTGGTTTGGGGAGTGTCTCAATGTGTTTATAGTTATTTCACTATAGTTTTTTAGACACAATATTAGAGGTTTCTAGCCATATTATTTTGAGTTGTATGTAATACTTATTTAATCCAATAAAAATACATTTGTCTGAATACTCTTATAAACTTAGAGTGATTATAAATTCATAGAAACTATGGGATGAAAATTTGGTAATATCTATTACATTCTAAATTTGATACAGTTTCTGTCACATTAATTACACCTTAACTATTTTATGGAGATATATTCAAGAAAGTATGTAGTAGTTGATGTTCATTAGTCTTTGAAACATTACTTAAAATTGAAGCACACCTAAAAAAAGAAGAAATATCTAGCAATTGAGGGAATTGTATAGATATTAAGCAGATTTTTAGCAGAACAAGATATATCTACTTGTATCAGTCTATGAAGTCCACAAAATTCTACTATAAATTTTGAATAAAGTTTTTAGAGAGTATGCATAATAAGTTTTCATTATACAATGGCAATAATAAGATACATATGTAAATATATGTATAGATTATAGGAATATATGTGTTTTGTTAATTTGTTTAACTCAGCGTAAAACTGAAGGATTGTGAAGATTAATCTTATACATTTGGTTTTATGTATGTCATTATTATTTAATATTTTCTTAACCTAAGCATATTTATTTTCTTGAATTAAAATATCAGTTAACAAAAAAGCAAAAGGAGATCTTTTAAAGAACATTATAAATTTTATTGTGCAGGATTGTTACAGGACTTAAATATGATATACATTATTAGAGCTTTATAATTTACAGCATCCTATAAAAGAAGTTATAATTTGTTCTTCTGTGTTCTTACAGAATATTTTTCTGTAATATAAGGCGGATTTTGCAGGTATCAGATACTGTCCTATTATAGCATATATATATATATATACACACACACACGTATACACATATATAACACATATATACACATATATACACATATATTTATATAAATTTATGCCTTTTTCATAATTATCTAACTTTTGTTTTATTTTGGAAGTGTATTTAGGGTCAGAAAAATTCTTCTTGAAAAAAAAATGTAGCATCCACCTGTGTTTCAGTTGTTCTTAACTCTTAAAAGAAATAATGTATAGGTTTTTGGAAAGTGTCCTTTGTATAATCCTGCTAGGAAGCAGCTACATTTCAGTTTAGTACAAAACTATTCTGATATTTAAGCCTTGTATGTACTGTTTTTAATTTAAAATAATGACTTAAAATATAATTATGAGTAGGTAGATTTATCTAAACTTTAAAAATCAACAAATGCAATTATTAAAATCTTAATAGATTTTGATTTAATGTTACCATATTGGCAGGGAGAAGACTAGTGGGAGACTGTCCCAGTAGGCAACAACCATCTGTGTTAGGGTCAGAGGCTTTGTCAAAATGTTCAAACCAAAGGGCATATATGTTTGTGAAGATTAAGATGAGGAATTAAAAATTACTTTTGCAGTCTTTTAAACAATACAGAATTACGGATATAATTATGCAGCATGAAATTCACGTTTTTGCATGAAACATGCAGAATTTATAGATTAGTTGAAAGTGGAGCACACTTTATTAACCAGTAGACAAGTTAGCCTTTGGGCACTGTGTGTGAATATGTGATATAATGTTATAAGTATCTAATCTCTCTATGTTAACAAACTAAAAAGGCTCAGGAGCTTAGGGAGTTGGCTAGGAACACATCTCTTGAACAAACACCCTGGCTCTTCATGCTTTCTATCCTCTGCAAGCTGTCCAGGCCAGCACTGAGCACTTCTCTTTTGTCCACTGTTTCTCCTTTGCACAACTGGACGTCACTGGCAAGCCTCCGGAGAGGATAAATCTAGTGTTCAGGTTTTGATTTAATGTCTTTTTTTTTTCTGTAAAATCTTTCTGAAATGTAATGTTTGTCTTTTTATGGAAAAAAAATTAATGGAAATCAGAACCTACACAATGATTTTTATGGCAAATGTTATTACAAATGATTGCATTAAATGGTGCTCATTTAAAGTTCAAACGCTAATAGGTGCTGGATTTTTACAAAGCAAAGCAGGGCCTTTGGAGAAAGCCCTGAGTGGAGTCCTGGTTGTATTCAAGGTCATGCAACTGATTTGTTGGGCAATCTTGGGCAAAGTCATTTAGGTGGCCTTAACCTAAATCTAGTGGATTTTTCCTCTCCATCTGTAAAAAATTAGGCTAATAACACATGTTTATTTGTGAAGTGCTTTCATCTGCTCAGAGTAAAAAGTCACAAGTGCAAATATTGTTATTATTATATTTATTAATTGCTGAGGATGGCTTCAATGCACCTTTGCTATTTAAAAATCCTGCTTGCAGCTGTGAAAACATTATGCTTAACAGGAGCAATTATCAGTGGTGGTTGGTGCAGAACTCACAGGGAGGGAAGCTGCTGGAGGAACCATTTATTAAAAGCAGAGGGAGAAAGAAAAAGAAACTGCAGGCATTATTTAAAAAGTGAGTGTAATATTATACACACTATTATGTAATATATATAACCAAATACATATTTGTATGAATCAAATATATTTATACATGTAAACTAAACATTCCCATATTTATAATCAAAGAAAGAAAGAAAAGTCTATCGGGCTCTTAGTTTTGTTTTGTTACTCTTAGTCTCTTGCCTTCACCACCTTCTCTAGGCCTATCAGATCTCTTCCCTTTCACAAAGCCTGCTTTTGTGTATAATATGTTACTACATTTTTGTTTCTAAATAAATATAAATGTATTATAATGTTATAATAAAATAAAAAACTAGGGGATAAATATATATGTGATTATAATATATATAATATATATATATTTATATTATATATTTTATATTATTATATATTTATGTATCATATATTTATATATTATATATTTATATATCATATATTTATATATTATATTTATATATCATATATTTATATATTATATTTATATATCATATATTTATATATTATAGTTATATATCATATATTTATATATGATATATTTATATATGATATATTTATATATCATATATTTATATATGATATATTTATATATATTATATATTTTTATATATCATATATTTATATATGATATATTTATATATATCATATATTTTTATATATCATATATTTATATATATTATATATTTTTATATATCATATATTTATATATATTATATATTTTTATATATCATATATTTATATATATTATATATTTTTATATATCATATATTTATATATATTATATATTTGTGAAAATTACATCTTGTCCTCTTTTGTGCCTCCAAATCCAATAGCATTTGGACGGTTTGGCACCAGATTAACTATATTTGTTTCTCTTCACCTCTATTTTTTCCTTAACTTCTTTTTCTCTGTCCATATGTTAACTTATTTACTATATCAAATTTATCTGTAGTAGTGACATTTATTATCAGTTTTTCCAAGGTGGCACATATGGATCCTTTGGATTTCTGAAATCAGCAATTGTGTTTCTGCTGATAGAAATGTGTAGAGGAAGAGAAGATGAGACCTGACCTGAGGTATGGAGGAACATAGCGAAACTACCTCCTACTTGCCTACATCCATTCTTCACCATCTAGCTAGATTGAATAAAACTCCTCTACAAGATTTAATTTGGTGAAAACAAAGTAAGGTTTACAATTCGGTGAATATACTATTAGTAAATCAAAATATTTTCTTACAGAATGAAGAGAGAGCAACAAATGGAAAAAATCAACGCTAAAAGGGAAGGGTTTGCAATTCCCAGGTTGTCAGGCTAACAACCTGTTTACTGCTTCATCTTCCCTCAACTACTTTCTTCATCTCTCATCTTTCTATTATTTTGCATTTTCTCTTTTATTTTCTTCCTCTGATTTCTTCTTCCTCATCTAGATAGACTATGGAGTTTTACACGTGGCCACTTAACTGATGAGAAAAATATCTTCTGAGGAATATGTCAGCCAGTAAGTGGAAATTAAATCATGACAAACTGGAGCAACTGTTCTGATTATTCAGGTAAATTTAAAGCAAGTCCATATGCAAGGGAAGTGAAACACATTGATGTTTTAGATTACTTAAATTAAAAAATGTTCAGCATGTGATTTGTTTTGGTTTTATGGAACTTAGCTAAAAGATCCTCTTCCAAATATGATATTATCAAGCCATTTATTTTTTACTTCATTAGGGGAGGGTTGTGTCAATCATACTCATTAGTGAATGTCACATTATTTCCATGGTCTCTGCAAATACATTCTCTTATTTCATTTATTTTGTTTCATTCACATACTTTATTATTTTCCCTACCCACCCTTTACCCTGCTAGAGATAATCATTCTACACAATCATTTTTGGTTGTTTGTTTTTGTTTGTTCTTATAATTAATATACTTTTGTATTATGTTACAAACTTACCTGTTTCTTATATTTGATTCACTGAGTACTATGATTTTTTTAAAATCTACTTGTAGTTTTAGGTAAATTTTAAGCTAATGCTTCTAAGAGTAGCATTGTTTAAAGTTGATTGATGGTAGGATATAGCGGCTCACACCTGTAATTCCAGTGATCAAAAGGCAGTGGCAGGAGGATCTCTTGAGGTCAGGAGTTCAAGACTAGCCTGGGCAACAAAACAAGAACCTGTCTGCTGGGTGCCTGTAATGCTAGCTACATGGGAGGTTGACATGGGAAGATCCCTTGAGCCAAGGACTTTGAAACTGCAGTGAGCTATGATTGCACCACCGCACTCCCAAATAAATTAAGGTGAAATGAGTTTTGGTTTTGGAGGAAGTTAAGCTACTTGGGAATTAGATTGATACTCTAAGTTTTGTTAGGGCAGGCCTTTACTCTTGGGTTACTTAAGCTTTACTACCAGAGGTGACTCTTCTGGGAGCCTAGTGAAAGCCATAGTTGTTCAGTTAATCCTCTCTGATGTGGTTGGTTGGAACTTATGCATCTTACACTCATTTGAATTTTGGAAGGTTTTCAGTTTAAATCTTACTAGTTGTTGTTTTTCTCCAGAAATTATTATTTGCCAGGTCTTGTGAATTCTTATCCTATGCATATGCAGCTGAGTATTTGCTGAAAGACTTGAGATTACCCCATTCAGATTCCTGAAGCTCTTTGTGTAGCTTTCTCTTGTGCAGTAATCTGATTCACAAGTTCCAGCTGCTGAGCCTCCTAAACTCTGATATCTGCCTCTTTGGCACGGTTGGTTGTCTAGTATCTAAAAACAGTTGTTTCTGATATTTTTTTCTGTTTTTTTATTATGGGAGGACAATGCAAGAACTATTTCTTCTATTGTGGCCAAAAGCAGAAGTAAGAAATAAGTTTGGATTTTATATCTTTTCTGCTTAGTGTTGCTTGATTGTCAAAGCCCTCATTTTACACATACAAAAGAAAAGCTCCAAGTTGTAAATTGTATGCTTTTCTGGATGCTGAAACCAAATTGTAGGCAGATTAACAAATTTAGGATGATTAATCTAGTATCAGCTAAATAAATTTGTATTAGCTCATCCTTAATGACTCACTTTCTCCCAAGGAAACCATAATATTAGCTTGTTGACAGACTAGATAATTAAAAACTGGCCTTTACAAAAATAGCTAAATAGGTCTTATAATCACAGAAAAATCTGAGCATTGGCAAGTAGGGTATTTATTATATCAGTTAATAATATAGTCATAAGTTATTCATTCATTACTGACATATACAAGGCAAGGAATTACCAACAGTTCTTGCTCTTAGCAACTTATGGTCCAATGTGGAGAGAGATGAATAAAAACATACCTCCTAAAAATATAAAAAAAAAAGTGATAAAAATAAATCAACAGCCTAAATAAAATACAATCATTCTTATAAATGTATAGAAATCATTTAAACAGTGAAAAATCTTTATAGGAGAGTGGTATTGATTTGGGCCTTGAATTGCAGAAAGGATTTTTACATACCTGGAATAGAAGGTAGGACATTGGTGTTGGGAAAGGAAAAAAAGGAGAGAGAAAAACTTGACATGACTATAAGTATAGTAATGGGAGGCAACAAAGCATGACACACTGAGATCATTACATTTGTATCAGAGTTTTCGTGTAGGGTATCAGAATAAAAAAAGGCAAAAAAGAAAAAAGAAAGATCAGTAGAGTGTATTGGTATTAAGATCATGAGATTTATAGTGGAAGTTAAGTTTAAGTTTCAAGAGTTTTTCAACATGTACAAAATATACAAATAATGAAAATAAATTTACTTTCTTAAATCCTTATTTTCTTCATATTCTAGAATAATATCCAGAATATACATGGAACTGAAATAATCCAACAATAAAAACAGGCAAATAATTCCACTAAAAGTGGAAAAAGAATATGAATAGACATTTTTTCAAAAGAAGGCATACAAAGGGCCAAGGGGTATATTTTTTAAAAATGCTTGCCATCACTAATAATTAGGGCAATACAAATCAAGGCCATATTGAGAAATTTTCTTACCTGAGTTAGAATGGCTATTAGTAAAATGATAAAAAATAACAGATGCTCACAAGAATGCAGAAAAGAAGGAACTCTTATATACTGTTGGTGGCAATTTCAAGAAGTATAGCCACTATAGGAAATAGTATGGAGATTTCTCAAAAAATTAAAGGTAATATTACTATTACTATATATTAAAAGCAATATTATTATTGGGTATTTACCCAAAGTAAAGGAAATCAGTATATAAAAGGGATGCTTCCACTTGCATGTTTATTGAAGAATTATTTACAATATTAAAGACAGAGAATCAACCTAAGTTTCTATCAATGGATGAATGGGTAAAGAAAACATTGTACGTATACACAACAGAATACAAGTTGGCCATAAAAAAGAATGAAATCATATCGTTTCCATTAACGTAGATGGGACTGATGGTCATTATCTTAAGTTGAAAAAATCCAAGCCCAGAAAGAAAAATACATCTTCTCACTCACATGTTGGAGCTAGCAAAGTTGATCTTACGAAGTGGGAAGGGTATGTGGTTGAGGGGTTGAAAAAGAGAGGTTAGTGGGTAGAAACATACAATTAGAAGAAGAAATAAGTGCTAAAGTCTAATAGCAGGTGAATCTGGATAACAACAATATAATGTATCTTTCAAAGTAGCCAGAAGAGAAGACTGAAAATGTTCCCAACACACAGAAATGATAAATACTTTAGATAATGGACACCCCAAATGCCCTGACTTGATTATTACTCAGTTTATTCATGTAACCAAATATTACATGTACTCAAAACTATGTTCAAAAATTATGTATCGATAAAGCATTTTAATATAAAATAAAATTTATTGTTCATAGGTTTACTTTTGGCCAATGTGTTTTCACCTCTTTTTTCTAGTCCCAAGTCACTTCTCAAATTGGAGACATAACCAAGCTGGCCAGTAACATGATATACTAGGTACTTTCCACTGCTAGGTACTTTTGCAGGTGCTTGGATACTTCTAGATATGGGCTCACACTGCTTACTGATCCTATGTACACCTACGAATCAAAGGAAAAGAAATATATATATATATATATATATAAAATATTTAGAGAAGACTTCATCTAATAAGTTAAGATACCCAGTAAGAAAGAGATATTCAAAATCATTGGCAATGATAGAAATGAATATTCAATCAACAAAATATCAGTAGATATCTGTTATAATGGCCAAAATTATATAGCTACATAATAAAAAATAAAATGTTGACTACCAAACTATGGAATACACCAAAGCAGTTCTAAGAAGCAAGTTTATAGCAATAAACACCAATATTTAAAAAGAAAAAAGATCTCAAATAAACAACCTAACATTATATCACAAGAAAATAGGAAAAGAAGAACAAACTAAGTCTAAAGATAATAGAAAAAAAGAAAAAAAGATCAGAGCAGAAATAAATGAAATAGTGATTACAAAAAGTAGAAAAACTCAATAAAACTAACAGTTTTGAAAATATAAACAAAACTGACAAACTTATAACTGGATTTACTAAGAAAAACAGAGAGAAGACAAATTGAAATGAAAGAGAGAGCATTCTAACTGATACTACAGAAATATAAAAATCACAAGACTACTATTAATAATTATTCTCCAACAAATAGATATTAGAACAAATGAATTACTAGACCATTCAATGTACCAAAAATAAATCAGGAAGAAATAGAAAATCTGAAGAAACCAATAATGAGTGAAGAGGTTGGATCAGTAAGAAAAAGTCACTCATCAATGAAAAGCCCAGAACTTTATAGCTTATTTGCTGAATTCTACCAAACATTTAAAAAAGAATTAATATAAATTTTTATTAAACTTTTCCAAAATATTAAAGTGGAGGTAATACTTCCAAATTCATTTCACAATTTTGGAATTACCCTGCTACAAAAGTCAGACAAGGACATTAGATGAAAATAAAATTACAGGATAATAACCTTGATAAACATAGATGCAAAAATCTTCAACAAAATACTAGCAAACTGAATTATATTCACATTAAAAGATTATTCATTATGATCAAGTGGGATTTTTCCCTGGGATGCAAGAATGGTTCAACCTATGTAAATTAATCAAGGTGATATACCACATTAACAGAATGAAGGACAAAAGTCATATGATCATCTTAATAAATGCAAAAGAGGCATTCAAAAAAGTCAATATCCTTTCACAATAAAAACTATCAACAAATTTGGTATAGAAGGACTTTACCTTAACACAATAAAAGTCCTATATAACAGAACCACAGCTTATGTACTCTGGTTAAAAATTAAAAAGGTTTTCCTCTAAGATGATGAGCAAGACAAGAATGTCCACTCTTGCCATTTCTATTCACACAATACTGGAAGTCCTTGCTAGAGCAATTAGAAAAGAGAAACAAATAAAAGCCATCCAAATTGAAAGGGAGAACTAAAATTATCTGTTTGCAGATGACATCATTTTACATATAAAACACCCTAAAGACTCTACCAATAAAACCCAAACTCAGATACTCAGTAAAGTTGAAGAATATAAAATCAACATACAACAATCAGTCATATTTCTATATACTGACAAATAACTGTCTGAAAAGTAAATCAAGTAATATCTCGTGTACAATAGCTAAAATACCCCAAAATAATCAGGAATAAATTTAATCAAGGAGGTGAAAGATCTGTACACTGTAAGCTATGAAACATTGATTATAAAAATGAAGACACAAATAAATGGAAAAGCATCCCATGTTCAAGGATTGGAAGAATTCATATTGTTAATTATATAGCTAAAGTTAACTATGTAAATTGCCCATACTACTCAGAGCAATTAGCAATTTCAATCCAACACCTAAACAAAATTCCAATGCTAGTTTTCTCAGGAAGAGGAAAAAATTCTAAAATTCATATGGAGCCACAACACAACCTAAATAGTCCAAGTAATCTCAAACAAACAGAATAAAGCATGATATCACCTAACTTCAAAACCTACTGTAAAACTTTAGGAATCAAAACAACATGCTACTGGCATAATGATAGACACATAGATCATTGGAACAGGGTGGAAGGCCCAGTAATAAGTCTACACACTTACAGCCAACTGATTTTCAACAAAGTTGTGAAACACACTCAATGAGGAAAGGAAATCTTTTCAATAAACAGTGCTAGGAAAACAGGATATCCACATACAGAAGACACTAATTAGATCCTAGTATCATTCCATATAAAAATATCAATTAACAATGGAATAAAGACTTAAATGTAAGACTTAAACTACAAAACTACTGGAAGAAAACAGAGGAAATACTTCATGACATTAGTCTGGGCAATGATTTATATATGTGTGTGTGTATATATATATATATATATATATGCAAAAGCATAGGCAAGAAAAGCACATATTAACAAATGGGTTCACATCAAACTAAAATGCATCTACACAGCAAAGGGAACGTTCAAAAGAGTGAAGAAACAATCTTCAAAATAGGAGAAAATATTTGCAAACCATATATCTGATAAGGGGCTAATATCTAACATTTATAAATAATTTAAACAACTGAATATCAAGAAAACAAATAACCTGATTAAAAAATGAGCTAAGGGCCTGAATAGACATTTCTCAAAGGAACACATATAAATTGGCAATAAGTATATTAAAAAAACACTCAGTATCACTAATTATCAGAGAAATACAAGTTAAAACCACATTGAGATATTACTGCACACCTATTAAAATTGTGGTTATCAAAAAGACGAAAAATAACTATTGGTGAAGATGTGGAGAAAATAGAACTATTGGACATTGTTGATAGAAATGTAAATTAGAACAGCCCTTATGGAAAACAGTATGGAGATCCCACAAAAAAATACTAAATAAAATTACCATATGATCCAGCAATCTTACTACTGGGTATATTCAAAGGATATGAAGTCAGTATGTTGAAGAGACATTTGTACTCTCATGTT